>NC_000009.12:105644794-105796309 GCF_000001405.40 Homo sapiens | reverse complement strand
ATTACTTCCAATATCACAGGAGGTGTACACCCACCTTGTGATATTGTTCCTAATAGCCAATGGGGGAAACGATGATATTACTGTGAATACCACAAAGGGTGTACACCACCCCCCATGATATTGTTCCTAATATCCAGGTTGGGAGAGGTTAATATTACACACAATATCGCAAAGTTTGTACACCTCCTTTGTGATATTGTTCTCAATATCCAATGGGTAAGAAGGTGTTATTACTCCCAATATCGCAGGGGTTGTACACACCTCCTGAAATATTGTTTTTAATATCCAGTGGGAAAGAGGATGATATTACTCCCAATAGTGCTGCGGCTGCACACTCCTCCTGTGATATTGTTTTTGATATTCACGGGGGGCAGAGGTTGATATTACTTCCAAGAGCGGAGGCTGTGCACACCACCATTGTGATATTGTTCCTAATATCCAGGGGCGAAAGAAGATTATATTACTCCCAATATCGCAGTGGTTGTACACCCCCGGCCTGATATTGTTCCTAATATCCAGGGAAAGAGAGGGTGATATTACATCCAATATCGCAGGGGGTGTACACCCCCCCGTAATATTGTTCTTAATACCCAGGGAAGAAGAATATGATATTACTTTAAATATCGCGGGGAGTGTACAATCCCCTGTGAAATTGTTTTTAATATTCAGGGCGGAGAAGATGATATTACTCCCAATGTCGCAGAGGATGTACACACACCCCTGTAATATTCTTCCTAACATACAGGGGAGGAGAGGATGATATTACTTACAATATCCGAGGGGTTGTACACATCCCTGTGACTTGTAATTAATAATCACGGGAAGGCGGAGTGGATGTTATTACTTTCAATATTGCAAGGGGTGTACACCACCCCAAAGATATTGTTCCTAATATTTAGGTAAGGACAGGATGATATTAATTTCAATATTGCAGCAGTTGTAAACCACCTCTGTGATATTGTTGCTAATATCCAAGGGGGGAGAAAATGATATTACCCCCAATAACGCTGGGGGTGTACATCCCACCTGTAATATTACACTTAATATTCAAAAACAGAGAGGAGGATAATATTAGTCCCAAAGCTGCAGGGTGTGTACACCCCACCTGCCATATAGTTTGTAATATCCAGCGGTGGAGAGGGGGGTGATATTATTCCCAATATCGCAGGGGAACGTCCACCCCCCGCCATATGGGGAGTAATATCACCCCCCCTCCCCACCCTGAGTATTACGAGCCATATGCCAGGGGGCTGTCCACTCCCTGCCATATGGGGAGTAATATCACCCCTGTCTCTCTCCATGGGTATTAAGAGCCATATGCCAGGGGGGTGTCCACCCCTCACCATATGGGGAGTAACATCAGCCCCCTCTCACCCCCTGGGTATTAAAAGCCATATGCCAGGGGGTGTCCACCCCATCCGTATGGAAAGTAATATCACCCCTCTCTCCCAGCCCTGGTTATTAAAAGCCACATGTGATATTGAGGGTAACATTATCCTTTCCATCCCTAGATATTAGGAACAATATCACAGGGGAATTGTACTCTCCCTGCGATTTTGGAAGTAATATTATCCTCTCCCCCGCCTGGATATTAGAAACAATATCACAGAAGGGGTGTACACTTTCTGCGATATTAGGTGTCATATTACTTTCTCCCCCCATAGATATTAGGAACAATATCACAGGAAGGGTGTAATATCAGTCTCTTCCCCCCTCCCCCCGCTGAATATTAGGAAAAATATCACAGGGGTGTGTACAACCCTTTCCATATTGGGTTTAATATACCCCTGGATATTACGAACAATATCACAGGGAAATGTACACCTCTTGCAACACTGGGAGTAATATCCTCTCCCCCCCTGGATATTAGGAACAATATCAAAGGGGGGCTGTACAACCCCTGCGATATTTGGGGCTATTACTCTCAAAATCGCAGGGGGTGTACACCCCCCCCCCCCGTGATATTGTTTTTAGTATCCAGGGGAGAGAGGATGACATTACTCCCAATATTGATGGGGGTGTACAGACCCCCTGGGATATTGTTTCTAATATCCACGTGGGGACAGGTAGATATTACTTCCAATATTGAAGATGGGGTACAAACCCCCTGTGGTATTGTTCCTAAAATACAGAGGGAAGAGCATGACATTACTCCCAATATCGCAGGGGATGTACACTCCCTTTGTGATATTGCTCCTAATATTTGAGGGAGGGGATGATACTACTCCAATATTGCATTGGGTGTACACACTTTTGTGATATTGTTCCTAATATCCCTGGAGGGAGAGGATGATATTCCTCCTTATATCGCAGGAGGCGTACACCCCCTTGTGATATTGTTTCTAATATTTATAGAGAGAGACTATGATATTACTGTCAATATCGCAGGAGGTGTACAACCCCCTGTGATACTGCTCCTAATATCCCACAGGGGAGAGGATGATATTAATCCCTATATTGAAGAGGGTTTACACCCCCCCGTGATATTGTTCCTAATATCCAGGTGGGGACAGAATGATATTACTCCCAATATCGCAAGAGGTGTAACCACCACCTGAGATATTGTTCCTACTGTCCAGGGGTGCAGAGGATGATATTACCCCCAACATAGCAGGGGGTGTACACCTCCCTTGTGACATTGTTCCTACTATCCAGGTTTGGAGAGGGTGATACTATACCCAATATTGCAGGGGGTGGACATCCCTTCTGTGATATTATTTCTAATATCCAGGGGGGAGAGGATGATATTACTCCCAATATCACTGGGGGAGTGCACCCCCGAAGATATTATTTCTAATATCCAGGGGGGAAGAAATGATATTACTCCCAATATCTCAGGGGGCGTACGCCCCTCCTGTGATATTGTTTTTAGTATCCAGTAAGAGGATGACATTAATTCCAATAACGCAGGGGGTGTACACAACCCCTGTGATATTGTTCCTAAAATAAAGAGGGAGAAAGAATGATATTATTTCCGATATCGCAGGGGATGTACACACCATCTTGTAATACTGTTCCTAATATCCAAGGAGAAAGAGGATGATATTACTCCCAATAGCGAAGGGGGTGTACACCTTCCTGTGATATTGTTCCTAATATCTGGGGTCGGGGCGGAGAAGATAATATTACTCCCAAAATCGCAGGGGGTGTACACCCCCACTCTGCAATATTGTTCCTAACATCGAGCAGTGGAGAGGATGATGTTACTCCCAATTTCCGAGAAGGTGTACACTTATTCTGTGATATAGTTTCTAATATTTAGGAAAGGAGAGGATTATACTACTTCCAGTACCACATGGGGTGTACACCTTTTCTGTGATATTTTTCCTAATATCAATGGGGAAAACGGATGATATTACTCCCAATATCACAAGAGGTGTACACCCCCCTTGTGAAATTGTTCCTAATATCCAATGGGGGAGACAATGATATTACTGTGAATACCACAAGTAGTATTCCTTCTGAAACTATTCCAAAAAACTGAGAATGAGGGACTCCTCCCTTACTCATTCTATGAGGCAAGCATCATTCTGATACCAAAACCCACCAAAAACACACAAAAAAAGAAAACTTTACATCAATATCCATGATGAACACAGATACAAAAATCCTCAACAAAATACTAGCAAAAGGAATCCAGCACCACATCAAAAAGCTAATCCACCATGATCAAGTAGGCTTTATTCCACAGATGCAAGGTTGGTTCAATATAAACAAATCAATAAATGTGACTCGTCACATAAACAGAACTTAAAAAACACATGATCATCTAAACAGACACAGAAAACACTTTCAATAAAATTCAATATACCTTCATGCCAAAAATCCTCAACAAACTAGGCATCGAAAAAACATACCTCAAAATAACAAAAGCCATCTATGACAAACCCACAGCCAACATCACACTAAACAGACAAAAGCTGGAAGCATTCCCCTGAAGAACCAAACAAGACAAGGATGCTTGCTCTCACCATTCCAATTCAACATAGTACTGGAAGTCCTAGACAGAGCAATCAGGCAAAAGAAAGAAATAAAAGACATTTGAATAGGGAAAGAAGAAGTCAAACTGTCTCTCTTTGCAGATGATATGATTTTATACCTAGAAAACCTCAGAGTCTCTGCTGAAAGCCTCCTAGATCTGATAAACAACTACAGAAAAGTTTCAGGCACCAAAATCACATACAAAAATTAGTGGCATTTCTAGATGCCAATAATGTCCAAGTGAGAGCCAAATCAAGAATTCAGTCCCATTTGCAATAGCCACAAAATAACAATAATAAATAATAAAATACCTAGGAATACAGCTAATCAGGAAGGTGAAAGATGTCTACAGTGAGAATTACAAAACACTGCTGAAAGAAATCAGAGACAACACAAATGGAAAAACATTCCATGATCATGGATAGGAAGAATCAATATTGGTAAAATAGCCATGCTGCCCAGAGCAATTTGCAGATTCAATGCTATTCCTATCAAACTACCAACAACATTTTTCACAGCATTAGAAAAAAGTATTCTAAAATTCATATGGAACCAAAATAGAGCCCAAATAGCCAAAGCAATCCTAAGCAAAAACAACAAAGCTGGAGGCATCACGCTATCTAATTTCAAACTATACTACAAAGCTATAGTAACCAAAACAGCATGATACTAGTACAAAAACAGACACACAGACGAATGGAACACATTGGAGAACCCAGAAATAAAGCTGCACACCTACATCCATCTAATCTTAGACAAAGTTGACAAAAACAAACAACGGGGAAAGGACTCCCTATTTAATACATGGTGTCAGGATAACTGGTTAGCCATATCCTAAAGATTAAAACTGGACCCCTTCCTTTTACCATATACAAAAATCAACTCAAGATGGACTAAAGAAGTAAACGTAAAACTGAAAACTAAAAACTCTGGAAGATAACCTAGGAAACACCATTCTGGACATCTGCCTTGGGAAACAAAAGAAACTATCAAGAGAGTAAACAGACAACCTACAGAATGGGAGAAAATATCTGCAAACTATGCATCTGACAAAGGTCTAACATTCAGAATCTACAAGGAACTTAAACAAATTGACAAGCAAAAAACAATAAAGGGTTCCAAGATGGCCGAATAGGAACAGCTCCAGTCTACAGCTCCCAGCATGAGTGATGCAGAAAACGGGTGATTTCTGCATTTCCAACTGAGGTACTGGGTTAATCTCACTGGGGCTCGTTGGACAGTGGGGGCAGGACAGTAGGTGCAGCCCACCGAGTGTGAGCCGAAGCAGGGCGAGGCATCACCTCACCCGGGAAGTGCAAGGGGTCAGGGAATTCCCTTTCCTAGCCAAGGGAAGGGTGACAGACGGCACCTGGAAAATCAGGTCACTTCCACCCTAATACTGTACTTTTCCAATGGTCTTAGCAAACAGCACACCAGGAGATTATATCCCGCACATGGCTCAGAGGGTCCCACACCCATAGAGCCTCGCTCATTGCTAGCACAGCAGTCTGAGATCAAACTGCAAGGCAGCAGCGAAGCTGAGGAGAAGGTCGGCCACCATGGCTGAAGCTTCAGTAGGTAAACAAAGCAGCCTGGAAGCTCGAACTGGGTGGAGCCCACCGCAGCTCAAGGAGGCCTGCCTGCCTCTGTAGACTCCACCTCTGGGGAAAGGGCATAGCCGAACAAAAGGCAGCCGAAACCTCCGCACACTTAAATGCCCGTCTCACAGCTTGGAAGAGAGTAGTGGTACTCCTAGCACGGAGTTTGAGATCTGAAAACGGACAGACTGCCTCTTCAAGTGGGTCCCTGACCCCAGAGTAGCCTAACTGGGAGGAACACCCCAGTAGGGGCAGAATGACACCTCACACTGCCGAGTACCCCTCTGAGATGAAGCTTCCAGAGGAACGATCAGGCACCAACATTTGCTGCTCACCAATATTCGTTGTTCTGCAGCCTCCGCTGCTGATACCCAGGCAAACAGCGTCTGGAGTGGACCTCCAGCAAACTCCAACAGACCTGCAGCTGAGGGTTCTGACTGTTAGAAGGAAAACTAACAAACAGAAAGGACATCCACACCAAAACCCCATCTGTACGTCACCATCATCAAAGACCAAAGGTAGATTAAACCACAAAGATGGGGAAAAACCAGAGCAGAAAAGCTGAAAATTCTTAAAATCAGAGCACCTCTCCCCCTCCAAAGGAACGCAGCTCCTTGCCAGCAACGGAACAAAGCTGGATGGAGAACGACTTTGACGAGTTGAGAGAAGGCATCAGACAATCAAACTTCTCCAAGCTAAAGGAGGAAGTTTGAACTCATTGCAAAGAAGCTAAAAACCTTGAAAAAAGATTAGACGAAAGACTAACTAGAATAACCAGTGTAGAGAAGTCCTTAAATGACCTGATGGAGCTGAAAACCATGGCACAAGAACTACATGACGAATGCGCAAGCTTCAGTAGCCGATTTGATCAACTGGGAGAAAGGGTATCAGTGATTGAAGATTAAATGAATGAAATGAAGCGAGAAGAGAAGTTTAGAGAAAAAAGAGTAAAAAGAAACGAAGAAAGCCTCCAAGAAATATGGGACTATGTGAAAAGACCAAATCTACAACTGATTGGTGTACCTGAAAGTGACAGGGAGAATGGAACCAAGCTGGAAAACACTCTGCAGGATATTATCCAGGAGAACTTCCCCAATCTAGCAAGGCAGGCCAACATTCACATTCAGGAAATACAGAGAACGCTACAAAGATATTCCTCGAGAAGAGCAACTCCAAGACACGTAACTGTCAGATTCACCAAAGTTGAAATGAAGGAAAAAATGTTAAGGGCAGCCAGAGAGAAACGTCGAGTTACCCACAAAGGGAAGCCCATCAGACTAACAGCTGATCTCTCGGCAGAAATTCTACAAGCCAGAACAGAGTGGGGGCCAATATTCAACATTCTTAAAGAAAAGAATTTTCAAACTAGAATTTCATATCCAGCCAAACTAAGCTTCATAAGTGAAGGAGAAATAAAATCCTTTATAGACAAGCAAATGCTGAGAGATTTTGTCACCACCAGGCCTGCCCTAAAAGAGCTCCTGAAGGAAGCACTAAACGTGGAAAGGAACAACCAGTACCAGCCACTGCAAAAACATGCCAAATTGTAAAGACCATTGATGCTAGGAAGAAACTGCATCAACTAACGAGCAAAATCACCAGCTAACATCATAATGACAGTATCATATACACACATAACAATATTAACCTTAAATGTAAATGGACTAAATGCTCCAATTAAAAGACACAGACTGGCAAATTGGACAAAGAGTTAAGACCCATCAGTGTGCTGTATTCAGGAGACCCATCTCATGTGCAGAGATACACATAGGCTCAAAATAAAAGGATGGAGGAAGATCTACCAAGCAAATGGAAAAGAAAAAAAGGCAGGGATTGCAATCCTAGTCTCTGATAAAACAGACTTTAAACCAACAAAGATCAAAAGAGACAAAGAAGGCCATTACATAATGGTAAAGGGATCAATTCAACAAGAAGAGCTAACTATCTTAAATATATATGCACCCAATACAGAAGCACCCAGATTCATAAAGCAAGTCCTTAGAGATCTACAAAGAAACTTAGACTCCCACACAATAATAATGGGAGACTTTAACATCATTAGATGTTATCATTAGACAGATCAACAAGACAGAAAGTTAACAAGGATATCCAGGAATTGAACTCAGCTCTGCACCAAGCGGACCTAATAAACATCTACAGAACTCTCCACCCCAAATCAACAGAATATACATTCTTCACAGCACCACATCACACTTATTCCAAAATTGACCACACAGTTAGAAGTAAAGCACTCCTCAGCAAATGTAAAAGAACAGAAATTATAAGAAACTGTCTCTCAGACCACAGTGCAATCAAACTAGAACTCAGGATTAAGAATCTCACTAAAAACCGCTCAACTACATGGAAACTGAACAACCTGCTCCTGAATGACTACTGGGTACATAATGAAATGAAGGCAGAAATAAAGATGTTCTTTGAAACCAACGAGAACAAAGACACAACATACCAGAATCTCTGGGTCTCACTCAAAGCAGTGTGTAGAGGGAAATTTATAGCACTAAATGCCCACAAGAGAAAGCAGGAAAGATCCAAAATTGACACCATAACATCACAATTAAAAGAACTAGAGAAGCAAGAGCAAACACATTCAAAAGCTAGCAGAAGGCAAGAAATAACTTAAGATCAGAGCAGAACTGAAGGAGACAGAGATATAAAAAACCCTTCAAAAAATCAATGAATCCAGGAGGTGGTTTTTTGAAACGATCAGCAAAATTGATAGACCGCTAGCAAGACTAATAAAGAAGAAAAAGAGAGAAGAATCAAATAGATGCAATAAAAAATGATAAAGAGGATATCACCATCGATCCCACAGAAATACAAACTACCATCAGAGAATACTCTAAACACCTCTATGCAAATGAACTAGAAAATCTAGAAGAATTGGATAAATTCCTGGACACATACACTCTCCCAAGACTAAACCAGGAAGAACTTGAATCCCTGAATAGACCAATAACAGGCTCTGAAATTGAGGCAATAATTAATAGCTTACCAACCAAAAAAAGTCCAGGACCAGATGGATTCACAGCCAAATTCTACCAGAGGTACAAGGAGGAGCTGGTACCATTCCTTCTGAAACTATAGCAATCAATAGAAAAAGAGGGAATCCTCCCTAACTCATTTTTTGAGGCCAGCATCATCCTGATACACCAAAGCCTGGCAGAGACACAACAAAAAAAGAGAATTTTAGACCAACATCTCTGATGAACGCTGATGCAAAAATTCTCAATAAAATACTGTCAAACCGAATCCAGAAGCACATCAAAAAGCTTATCCACCATGATCAAGTGGGCTTCATTCCTGGGATGCAAGGCTGGTTCCACATATGTAAATCAATAAACGTAATCCAGCATATAAACAGAACCAAAGACAAAAAACCACATGATTATCTCAATAGATGCAGAAAAGGCCTTTGACAAAACTCAACAACCCTTCATGCTAAAAACTCTCAATAAATTAGGTATTCATGGGACGTATCTCAAAATAATAAGAGCTATTTATGACAACAAACCCACAGCCAATATCATACTGAATGGGCAAAAACTGGAAGCATTCCCTTTGAAAACTGGCACAAGACAGGGATGCCCTCTCTCACCACTCCTATTCAACATAGTGTTGGAAGTTCTGGCCAGGGCAATTAGGCAGGAGAAAGAAATAAAGGGTATTCAGTTAGGAAAAGAGGAAGTCAAATTGTTCCTGTTTGCAGATGACATGACCGTATATTTAGAAAACGCCATTGTCTCAGCCCAAAATCTCCTTAAGCTGATAAGCAACTTCAGCAAAGTCTCAGGATACAAAATCAACATACAAAAATCACAAGCATTCTTATACACCAATAACAGACAAATAGAGAGCCAAATCATGAGTGAACTGCCATTCACAATTGCTTCAAAGAGAATAAAATACCTAGGAATCCAACTTACAAGGGATGTGAAGGACCTCTTCAAGGAGAACTACAAACCACTGCTCAAGGAAATAAAAGAGGACACAAACAAATGAAAGAACATTCCAGGCTCATGGACAGGAAGAATGGATACCGTGAAAATGGCCATACTGCCCAAGGTAATGTATAGATTCAATGCCATCCCCATCAAGCTACCAATGACTTTCTTCACAGAATTCGAAAAAACTACTTTAAAGTTCATATGGAAACAAAAAAGAGCCCGCATCACCAAGGCAATCCTAAGCCAAAAGAACAAAGCTGGAGGCATCATGCTACCTGACTTCAAACTATATTACAAGGTTACAGTAACCAAAACAGCATGGTACTGGTACCAAAACAGAGATATAGACCAATGGAACAGAACAGAGCCCTCAGAAATAATACCACACATCTACAACTATCTGATCATTGACAAACCTGACAAAAAAAAGAAATGGGGAAAGGATTCCCTACTTAATGGTGCTGGGAAAACTGGCTAGCCATACATAGAAAGCTGAAATTGGATCCCTTCCTTACACCTTATACAAAAATTAATTCAAGATGGATTAAAGACTGAAATGTTAGATCTAAAACCATAAAAACCCTAGAAGAAAATCTAGGCAATACCATTCAGGACATAGGCATGGGCAAGGACTTCATGTCTAAAACACCAAAAGCAATGGCAACAAAAGACAAAATTGACAAATGGGATCTAATTAAACTCAAGAGTTTCTGCACAGCAAAAGAAACTACCATCAGAGTGAACAGGCAACCTACAGAATGGGAGAAAAATTTTGCAATCTACTCATCTGACAAAGGGCTAATATCCAGAATCTACAAAGAACTTAAACAAATTTACAAGAAAAAAACAAACAACCCCATCAAAAAGTATGCAAAGGATATGAACAGACACTTCTCAAAAGAGACATTTATGCAGCCAACAGACACATGAAAAAATGTTCATCATCACCGGCCATCAGAGAAATGCAAATCAAAACCACAATGTGATACCATCTCACACCAGTTAGAATGGCAATCATTAAAAAGTCAGGAAACAACAGGTGCTGGAGAGGATGTGGAGAAATAGGAACACTTTTACACTGTTGGTGGGACTGTAAACTAGTTCAACCATTGTGAAGACAGTGTGGCGATTCCTCAGGGATCTAGAACTAGAAATACCATTTGACCCAGCGATCCCATTACTGGGTATATACCCAAAGGATTATAAATCATGCTGCTATAAAGACACATGCACACGTATGTTTACTGCGGCACTACTCACAATAACAAAGACTTGGAACCAACCCAAATGTCCAACAATGATAGACTGGATTAAGAAAATGTGGCACATATACAGCATGGAATACTATGCAGCCATAAAAAGGATGAGCTCATGTCCTCTGTAGGGGCATGGATGAAGCTAGAAACCATCATTCTCAGCAACCTTTTGCAAGGACAAAAAACCAAACACCACATGTTCTCACTCATAGGTGGGAACTGAACAATGAGAACACTTGGACACAGGAAGGGGAACATCACACACTGGGGCCTGTTGTGGGGTTGGGGGACAGGAGAGGGAAAGCATTAGGAGATATACCTAATGTAAATGACGAGTTAATGGGTGCGGCACACCAACATGGCACACGTATACAAATGTAACAAACCTGCACGTTGTGCACATGTACCCTAGAACTTAAAGTGTAATTAAAAAAAAAGAAAATGTACATATACACCATGGAATACTAAAAAGCAGTAAAAAAGAATGAAATCATGTCCTTTGCAGTAACATGGATGCAGCTTGAGGTCATTATGCTAAGTGAATTAACACAGGAACAGAAAACCAAATATATATACTCACTGATAAGTGGGAGCTAAGCATTTGGTACACATGGACACAAAGATGGGAACAATAGACACTGGGGACTATTAGGGGAGAATTGGAAGTGGGCAAATGCTAAAAAACTACCCTGGGTGATGGGATCAATCATACCCCAAACCCCAGCATCATGCAATATACAAATGTATCAAACATGTACATGTACCTCCTGAACCTAAAATGAAAATATCTATATATCTATATATATAGTTAGATGACAGATACAGATAGAAGTTGAAACATATATATGCATGCATGTATGTATGTTATGTATGTATGTATATATTGATGGCATTAATGAGGAGATTCACCATTGCTTACAGAAAAACTTAAGATTTCCGTTTGGAACACAGTGGCATTAAATGAGCATTTCTCTTAAAAAAAAAAAAATGGCCAAAGGACTGGGTTGGTGGTGGCTCACACCTGTAATCCCAGCACTTTGGGAGGCCGAGGTGGGTGGATTGCTTGAGCCCAGGAGTTCAAGACCAGCCTGGGCAACATGGTGAAACGCCGTCTCTACTAAAAATACAAAAATTAGCCAGGCACGGTGGTGCATGCCTGAAATCGCAACTACTCAGGAGGCTGAGGCACGAGAATCACTTGAACTCGAGAGGCAGAAGTTGCAGTGAGCAAAAATTGTGCCACTGCACCACTGCACTCCAGCCTGGGCAACAGAGTGTGACTCAGTCTCAAAAAAAAAAAAAAGGGGGGGGGGTGCAGGGTGGTGGCAAAGAACTCAACACTTTTCAAAAGACGACAAACACGTGGCAAATATGAAAAAATGCCCAATATCACTAACCATTAGAGAAATAGAAATCAAACCCATAGCGAGATACCATCTCACATCAGTCAGAAAAGCAACTATTGGATGGGTGTGGTGGCTCACGCCTGTAATCACAGCACTTTGGGAGGCCAAGGTGGGTGAATCACCTGAGGTCAGAAGTTCAAGACCAGCCTGGCCAACATGGTGGAACCCCATTTCTATTAAAAATACAAAATTAGCCAGGTGTGGTGGCACACCCTGTAATCCCAGCTACTTGGGAGGCTGAGGCAGGAGAATCGCTTGAACCCGGGAGGCGGAGGTTGCAGTGAGCAGAGATTGTGCCATTGCACTCCAGCCTGGGTGACAGAGTGCGACTCAAAAAAAAAAAAAAGAAAGGCAATTATTAAAAAGTAAAAAAAATAACAGATGCTGGTGAGGCTGCCGAGAAAAGAGAACACTTACATACTGCTGGTAGGAATGTATATTACTACAGCCATTGTGGAAAGCAGTTTGGAGATTTCTCAAAGAACTTATAACTACCATTCAATCCAGCAATCCCATTACTGGGTATGTGCCCAAAGGAATATAAATCATTCACCAAAATGTTCACCAACGACTTATACAAAAATGTTCAGAGTAACCTATTCAGATAACTCCAAACAAGAAACAGAACTGATGTACATCAATGGATAAAAATTGTGGTATATCCATAGAGTAAAACTACTAAGCAATTATAAAGGAATGAACTACTGATAAATGCAACAAGACGGATGATTTCAAAGGCATTATGCTGAGTTGTAAAGAAATCTACACAAAAGAGAACATATTGCATGACTCAGTTATATTAAGTTCAGTTGTAGGGGAGTTAACTGGAAAGGATCTTCCAGAAGTGCTAGTAACATATCTAAGTAGAAGTTTAGGTTATAAAGTTGTATGCATTTTTCAAAACTCATGGTATGCACACTTACTATTTGTGCATTTTATTTATGCAAACCTTACCTCAACAGAAAAAACTGTAAAAAAATAAATTGTTTAAGAAGTATGTCTGTTACAAACTACAGAGTAAAATTGGAGGAGCCAAGATGGCCGAATAGGAACAGCTCTGGTCTACAGCTCCCAGAGTGAGCTACACAGAAGATGGGTGATTTCTGCATTTCCATCTGAGGTACCCGGTTCATCTCACTGGGGAGTGCCAGACAGTGGGTGCTGGACAGTGGGTTCGCGCACCGTGCGCGAGCCGAAGCAGGGCGAGGCACTGCCTCACTTGGGAAGCACAAGGGTCAGGGAGTTCCCTTTCCGAGTCAAAGAAAGGGGTGACGGACGCACCTGGAAAATCGGGTCACTCCCACCCGAATATTGAGCTTTTCGGACAGGCTTAAAAAACGGCGCACCACGAGATTATATCCCACACCTGGCTCGGAGGGTCCTACACCCACGGAGTCTCGCTGATTGCTAGCACAGCAGTCTGAGATCAAACTGCAAGGCGGCAGCGAGGCTGGGGGAGGGGCGCCCACCATTGCCCAGGCTTGCTTAGGTAAACAAAGCAGCCCGGAAGCTCGAACTGGGTGGAGCCCACCACAGCTCAAGGAGGCCTGCCTGCCTCTGTAGGCTCCACCTCTGGGGGCAGGGCACAGACAAACAAAAAGACAGCAGTAACCTCTGCAGACTTAAATGTCCCTGTCTGACAGCTTTGAAGAGAGCAGTGGTTCTCCCAGCACGCAGATGGAGATCTGAGAACGGGCAGACTGCCTCCTCAAGTGGGTCCCTGACCCCTGACCCCCGAGCAGCCTAACTGGGAGGCACCCCCCAGCAGGGGCACACTGACACCTCACACGGCAGGGCATTCCAACAGACCTGCAGCTGAGGGTCCTGTCTGTTAGAAGGAAAACTAACAAACAGAAAGGACAGCCACACCAAAAACCCATCTGAACATCACCATCATCAAAGACCAAAAGTATATAAAACCACAAACATGGGGAAAAAACAGAACAGAAAAACTGGAAACTCTAAAACGCAGAGCGCCTCTCCTCCTCCAAAGGAACGCAGTTCCTCACCAGCAACAGAACAAAGCTGGATGGAGAATGACTTTGACGAGCTGAGAGAAGAAGGCTTCAGAAGATCAAATTACTCTGAGCTACGGGAGGACATTCAAACCAAAGGCAAAGAAGTTGAAAACTTTGAAAAAAATTGAGAAGAATGTATAACTAGAATAACCAATACAGAGAAGTGCTTAAAGGAGCTGATGCAGCTGAAAACCAAGGCTCGAGAACTACGTGAAGAATGCAGAAGCCTCAGGAGCCGATGCGATCAACTGGAAGAAAGGGTATCAGCAATGGAAGATGAAATGAATGAAATGAAGCGAGAAGGGAAGTTTAGAGAAAAAAGAATAAAAAGAAATGAGCAAAGCCTCCAAGAAATATGGGACTATGTGAAAAGACCAAATCTACGTCTGATTGGTGTACCTGAAAGTGATGGGGAGAATGGAACCAAGTTGGAAAACGCTCTGCAGGATATTATCCAGGAGAACTTCCCCAATCTAGCAAGGCAGGCCAACGTTCAGATTCAGGAAATACAGAGAACGCCACAAAGATACTCCTCGAGAAGAGCAACTCCAAGACACATAATTGTCAGATTCACCAAAGTTGAAATGAAGGAAAAAATGTTAAGGGCAGCCAGAGAGAAACGTCGGGTTACCCTCAAAGGGAAGCCCATCAGACTAACAGCGGATCTCTCGGCAGAAACCCTACAAGCCAGAAGAGAGTGGGGGCCAATATTCAACATTCTTAAAGAAAAGAATTTTCAACCCAGAATTTCATATCCAGCCAAACTAAGCTTCATAAGTGAAGGAGAAATTAAATACTTCACAGACAATCAAATGCTGAGAGATTTTGTCACCACCAGGCCTGCCCTAAAAGAGCTCCTGAAGGAAGCGCTAAACGTGGAAAGGAACAACCGGTACCAGCCGCTGCAAAATCATGCCAAAATGTAAAGACCATCGAGACTAGGAAGAAACTGCATCAACTAACGAGCAAAATCACCAGCTAACATCATAATGACAGGATCAAATTCACACATAACAATATTAACTTTAAATGTAAATGGACTAAATGCTCCAATTAAAAGACACAGACTGGCAAATTGGATAAAGAGTCAAGACCCATCAGTGTGCTGTATTCAGGAAACCCATCTCACGTGCAGAGACACACATAGGCTCAAAATAGAAGGATGGAGGAAGATCTACCAAGCAAATGGAAAACTAAAAAAGGCAGGGGTTGCAATCCTAGTTTCTGATAAAACAGACTTTAAACCAACAAAGATCAAAAGAGACAAAGAAGGCCATTACATAATGGTAAAGGGATCAATTCAACAAGAAGAGCTAACTAGCCTAAATATATATGCACCCAATACAGGAGCACCCAGATTCATAAAGCAAGTCCTGAGTGACCTACAAAGAGACTTAGACTCCCACACATTAATAATGGGAGACTTTAACACCCCACTGTCAACATTAGACAGATCAATGAGACAGAAAGTCAACAAGGATACCCAGGAATTGAACTCAGCTCTGCACCAAGCAGACCTAATAGACATCTACAGAACTCTCCACCCCAAATCAACAGAATATACATTTTTTTCAGCACCACACGACACCTATTCCAAAATTGACCACATATTTGGAAGTAAAGCACTCCTCAGCAGATGTAAAAGAACAGAGATTATAACAAACTATCTCTCAGACCACAGTGCAATCAAACTAGAACTCAGGATTAAGAATCTCACTCAAAACCGCTCAACTACATGGAAACTGAACAACCTGCTCCTGAATGACTACTGGATACATAACAAGATGAAGGCAGAAATAAAGATGTTCTTTGAAACCAACGAGAACAAAGACACAACATACCAGTATCTCTGGGACGCATTCAAAGCAGTGTGTAGAGGGAAATTTATAGCAGTAAATGCCCACAAGAGAAAGCAGGAAAGATCCAAAATTGACACCCTAACATCACAATTAAAAGAACTAGAAAAGCAAGACCAAACACATTCAAAAGCTAGCAGAAGGCAAGAAATAACTAAAATCAGAGCAGAACTGAAGGAAATAGAGACACAAAAAACCCTTCAAAAAATTAATGAATCCAGGAGCTGGTTTTTTGAAAGGATCAACAAAATTGATAGACCGCTAGCAAGACTAATGAAGAAAAAAAGAGAGAAGAATCAAATAGACACAATAAAAAATGATAAAGGGGATATAACCACCGATCCCACAGAAATACAAACTACCATCAGAGAATACTACAAACACCTCTACGCAAATAAACTAGAAAATCTAGAAGAAATGGATAAATTCCTCGACACATACACTCTCCCAAGACTAAACCAGGAAGAAGTTGAATCTCTGAATAGACCAATAACAGGAGCTGAAATTGTGGCAATAATCAATAGTTTACCAACCAAAAAGAGTCCAGGACCAGATGGATTCACAGCCGAATTCTACCAGAGGTGCAAGGAGGAACTGGTACCATTCCTTCTGAAACTATTCCAATCAATAGAAAAAGAGGGAATCCTCCCTAACTCATTTTATGAGGCCAGCATCATCCTGATATGAAAGCCGGGCAGAGACACAACCAAAAAAGAGAATTTTAGACCAATATCCTTGATGAACATTGCTGCAAAAATCCTCAATAAAATACTGGCAAACCGAATCCAGCAGCACATCAAAAAGCTTATCCACCATGATCAAGTGGGCTTCATCCCTGGGATGCAAGGCTGGTTCAATATACGCAAATCAATAAATGTAATCCAGCATATAAACAGAACCAATGACAAAAACCACATGATTATCTCAATAGATGCAGAAAAGGCCTTTGACAAAATTCAACAACCCTTCATGCTAAAAACTCTCAATAAATTAGGTATTGATGGGACGTATTTCAAAATAATAAGAGCTATCTATGACAAACCCACAGCCAATATCATACTGAATGGGCAAAAACTGGAAGCATTCCCTTTGAAAACTGGCACAAGACAGGGATGCCCTCTCTCACCACTCCTATTCAACATAGTGTTGGAAGTTCTGGCCAGGGCAATTAAGCAGGAGAAGGAAATAAAGGGTATTCAGTTAGGAAAAGAGGAAGTCAAATTGTCCCTGTTTGCAGACGACATGATTGTATATCTAGAAAACCCCATTGTCTCAGCCCAAAATCTCCTTAAGCTGATAAGCAACTTCAGCAAAGTCTCAGGATACAAAATCAACATACAAAAATCACAAGCATTCTTATACACCAACAACAGACAAACAGAGAGCAAAATCATGAGTGAACTCCCATTCACAATTGCTTCAAAGAGAATAAAATACCTAGGAATCCAACTTACAAGGGATGTGAAGGACCTCTTCAAGGAGAACTACAAACCACTGCTCAAGGAAATAAAAGAGGATACAAACAAATGGAAGAACATTCCATGCTCATGGGTAAGAAGAATCAATATCGTGAAAATGGCCATACTGCCCAAGGTAATTTACAGATTCAATGCCATCCCCATCAAGCTACCAATGACTTTCTTCACAGAATTCGAAAAAACTACTTTAAAGTTCATATGGAACCAAAAAAGAGCCCGCATCGCCAAGTCATCCTAAGCCAAAAGAACAAAGCTGGAGGCATCACACTACCTGACTTCAAACTATACTACAAGGCTACAGTAACCAAAACAGCATGATACTGTTACCAAAACAGAGATATAGATCAATGGAACAGAACAGACCCCTCAGAAATAACGCCGCATATGTACAACCATCTGATCTTTGACAAACCTGAGAAAAACAAGCAATGGGGAAAGGATTCCCTATTTAATAAATGGCGCTGGGAAAACTGGCTAGCCATATGTAGAAAGCTGAAACTGGATCCCTTCCTTACACCTTACACAAAAATCAATTCAAGATGGATTAAAGACTTAAACGTTAGACCTAAAACCATAAAAACCCTAGAAGAAAACCTAGGCATTACCATTCAGGACATAGGCATGGGCAAGGACTTCATGTCCAAAACACCAAAAGAAATGGCAACAAAAGACAAAATTGACAAATGGGATCTCATTAAACTAAAGAGCTTCTGCACAGCAAAAGAAACTACCATCAGAGTGAACAGGCAACCTACAAAATGGGAGAAAATTTTCGCAACCTACTCATCTGACAAAGGGCTAATATCCAGAATCTACAATGAACTCAAACAAATTTACAAGAAAAAAACAAACCACCCCATCAAAAAGTGGGCGAAGGACATGAACAGACACTTCTCAAAAGAAGACATTTATGCAGCCAAAAAACACATGAAAAAATGCTCACCATCACTGGCCATCAGAGAAATGCAAATCAAAACCACAGTGAGATACCATCTCACACCAGTTAGAATGGCAATCATTAAAAAGTCAGGAAACAACAGGTGCTGGAGAGGATGTGGAGAAATAGGAACACTTTTACACTGTTGGTGGGACTGTAAACTAGTTCAACCATTGTGGAAGTCAGTGTGGCAATTCCTCAGGGATCTAGAATTAGAAATACCATTTGACCCAGCCATCCCATTACTGGGTATGTACCCAAAGGACTATAAATCATGCTGCTATAAAGACACATGCACCCATATGTTTACTGCGGCATTATTCACAATAGCAAAGACTTGGAACCAACCCAAATGTCCAACAATGATAGACTGGATTAAGAAAATGTGGCACATATACACCATGGAATACTATGCAGCCATAAAAAATGATGAGTTCATGTCCTTTGTAGGGACATGGATGAAATTGGAAATCATCATTCTCAGTAAACTACTGCAAGAACAAAAATCCAAACACCGCATATTCTCACTCATAGGTGGGAATTGAACAATGAGATCACATGGACACAGGAAGGGGAATATCACACTCTGGGGACTGTGGTGGGGTGGGGGTAGGGGGGAGGGATAGCATTGGGAGATACACCTAATGCTAGATGACGAGTTGGTGCAGCGCACCAGCATGGCACATGTATACATATGTAACTAACCTGCGCAATGTGCACATGTACCCTAAAACTTAAAGTATAATAAAAAAAATAACAAAAAAAAATAAAAATAAAAATAAATTCAATTATTTGGGGGGAATATATGCTTTAAATCAAGTATATGAAGGATCAGTATGAACCTTACATTTACCCACAAGTCTACATGGTGTGCTCCCTCATGTCCTTCAGGTCTCTGCTAAAATGCAATCTTAACAGAAAGGCCTGGCAGTCCTATTGTAACAAACAATCCCACTCCCCTCACTTTCTATCCTTATGTCCTACTTAATATTTACTCGTAACTTTTATTGCCACCACAAGAGTATATTTGTTTATTATCTGTCTCTCCGCCACTGGAATATAAACTCCAAGGGAGAAAGCATTTTTCTTGTTTTCTGTTATCTTCAGAGCCTAGGACAATGATTGACCCATAACTGGTACTCAATATTTGTTGAATAAACAACTGAATGAATATTACCAAGGATGTGAATTACACCTGGGGCAAACACTATAAAGGGCTTTATTGGGGGAAAGAAAGAGCATTCTGAACACATTATTCCATTTACAACATGGGATGTTCCACTCAATTGTAATCAACTTGTGATTTGAAGTAGATTTTAATGGAAAGGTGTCTGGGCTTTAAGGAATAGACAAAAAAAAAATACACTAATCAGAGTCTCCCTTCTGTCATCTCTCTACCTTTTGGTCTCTACCCACAGGGAGGCTACCATTTCCACTGAAAGCCAACAACTCCACATATCTGGTCTCTCTCCAGCCCTTACTTGATACTCCCTCAGTAAGGAAGAGTGACTAATCTGATAAACCAGTTTGATATTCATTTGGCCATGTTTTACTTGAGAGTGACAGCACTGAGGGAAGCTGGCTCATGTTCTTGCCAGCTTTTTGTCTCCTTTTTTTTTTTAAGGAGACCTATTAGGACTTGACTTTCTCAGTGCCACCTCTGATTAGCTGTGTGAGGCAGGCCTATAGGCCTTATTCACACTTCACATTGGGTAAGGAGTCTAACAATCTGCTTTGCAAATCCAAGTCAAGACTCTACAGGTGACCTGAATAGATTCAGGATGGGTTTCAGGCCTAAGCCATGTTCTCCAGTACATTTTTTACAAAAGAGCCTTGAATTGAGGGTTATAGGATACTTGCATAGATTAATAAAGTTTCTACCAATGTCCCATTTGAACAGTAATCACTGAATATATACTATATTAGTCAAAATACTAGATGAGTTCTGAAACTCTACCTCAAGAAAAATATAAAACATAAAAATAATGTAATACTCCATTGGTGCTAAATAACTTATTTTAATAAATTTATCTTTAATACAAGTGTAAAACAAGAGTCCTTCCATTTCAACTACAGTTAAACCCAAACTTCAAAACTGGTCAATAATTAACAATGTATTAATTTTGAAAAGTTTTTAACTGTAAGAGTATCAAATATAATACAGAGCTCTTAAATACTTAAAGCTTTCTGTCACAATATTAAAAATAAAACTTCTTAGCATTCCAAGACTATGAAAAGTGCCCCCTCCCAATTTTTTAAGCAAGTAATAGTATCTGCTGGTGTTTATATTTGTTAAAAATTTAAAATAACAACAACAAAAAAAAAACTTCTAACTTGAATGTGATGTGACTTGAGTACTTCTAAACCATCGAAAATACCTGATACGGGGAGTAGGTTCATGGTTTTGGTAAAAGAAACTATGTCACAGAGTTTTAATATTATAACTGGACTTCTAAATCATAAAGTAAGAAAATTAACATCATTTAGTATCTTTTCTTGTTTGTTTTTTATTTTGCTAAGAAGGAACCAGATTTTATATCATCATTCTTCATCTAAATGGACTGCCATATGAAGTTCTGGTTTCTCTGTTTCTTCTTGGTTAGCTGGTTACTACCAAATGCCTAAGGACAATTCTCAGAGCATTTCCACATGAAGGTGATTAGTTTTCATTTAATAAAATTAATAACACATTACATGTAGATGAAAATATAACAAAACCATACGAAAGCTTGTCAGAGATATTCAACTAGAAAACTAAAACAGTAGCCACTAGAAAAAAGACATAGTGGAAAAATTTTTGAACGGATATGCTTTTTGTTGAATAATTACAGTAATTACTACCAATATATTCAGACCAACAAAGATTAGAAAGAACATGCAAAATGCTGAGAAAATTTCTCCTACAATTAAAACAAATGTGTTTTTATGAGAGAGAAAAAAATAAGTCAAGCTCCTAAAATGAAAATTACAAAACATAGGATTAACAATTTATTAAAAATTACACCCTTGATTTTTTTGAGGCCAAAAAAAGTAGTTTTTTTAAAACAAGGGCATGAAAAAGACTTCAGATTAAGACTCATACTCTGTTCTAAATGAAAAGTAGTAAAACTACTTCTAGTAGAAAATACCTGCTATGGAAAAAAAATTTCAGATATTTTCCATTTGATGTAGGTATTAATAAAAAATATGATGTTTATATCTAAAATATAAACTAGCAATTTATTTTCATTTATAATATAAAGTGTTTTAGGAAAAGTTTACTCTTCTCAGTGTTCAAAATAAAATAGGAATTGTTCTCCATACCTAGCAATTTTAATGATAATGTCAAGTAAAAATTTAATTCTGCTGAACTAAAGCTCAAATAGATTCAAATTTTAAAAATATGAAAAATCTACATTTTTAAAAGCTTAAAATTTTTGTTACTTTGCAATGACAGATCTGCTTTTTCTAACATTTAAAAAATTTTGTCTTCTTTTATTAATATAAAACTATTCAAATAATCACAACAGAATCTCTTATACCGGTAAAGCATAATCACATGATACACTCGTAACACTCTACAAATACAATCCAGAAAGGGGAAGTCTCCCTCAAACAAAGAATTTCTTTCTTTCTGTCACCTCCATTCCATATATATAGTCTTCATTTCACATCACATACATAGAAAAATTAGCACAATATAACAGGTAGATAAGAAAAAAAATTTTTGGCCTTGTAGAGCTCATCACGTAAATTTATTCATTCTTCTTAGTATGTTTCTTTTTAACATTATCTGAGGCAACATCTACCGGCTTTGAGGCCAATGACCCAACGCCATTGGAAGGTGACTTTGCTTCACTTTTCTTCTCACATGATGAAAACGGCTGCTGCCAGCCAAATAGCATCCAACTCAATGTATCCTCAAAAGGAGCAAATGTCATAGTAGAAGTCTGTGTAGTCATCATGGTTATCTGGGGGAAAAAAGTTTAATTTTGAATTTAAATACAAATGATTTCTGTTTCTCAAGAGAGAGAAACAAAAGGAAAAAAAATCAAAATGCATTATTAATGTAATCTGCAGGGGAAGCAATCTAAGCTAGATTCTGGTAAAATCTCTGTTCTCCATGAGATTCTACTTAATGGAAAATAACACAACTCATTAAAAATAATACAAGGTACCATATTTTGGGGTGCCAAATGAGTAGAATAACCACTTTCACAAAAATGCATTTAGTATTCAAAGGAAGTAAGATAAAATATCAACATCACTATGCATTTAACATGTGTCAGAACGAAGATAAGTGCTTTACATTGTCGTTCTCTTTAACTTTAACCCAACAACTATTCTATTATTACCCTCATCATTGAGATGTGGAACCAAGGCTCTGAGAGGTTAAATAACTTGCCCAAAATCACAAAGCTAATAAGTGGTAAAGAAGTTTGCAATATCCAGATTCTGAGTTCGATTACTAAATACACTGACTATCATCATCTAAAGTCACAGACTTTTAGTGACTTGCAGAATGCTACCCTCAACAGATTGTAGAATGTCCCCCAATTTTTTCCACATATATTTTTATATAAAGGAACCAAGACCTCAAGGGGTAGAGAGTGCTCCTATTCCTTTATGTGGCAAAATGCACAGTGTTCACAGATGTTTAGATATACTCAAGAAATTAGGCTAATGCCAAAATAAATCTGGGAGGAGAACTTTCAAGTCTAGAACAGCTCCAAAGAATCCAGGAATTTCCCCAAGAGTCAGTTCCTCCAGAACACAGATAATGACTTAAACTAGAAATTCTGGGGATCAAATTTTCAAAGAAGACCCCTACATAACCTACCTGCTTGGGGAAAATGGTATCAAGAATAAATTCTTACTAGTTGCAATACAGTGTGGGGAGGTGGAAGAAAAGTATATATTCATCACAAAAGGAATAGATAAGTTAAATGCATGCTATGCAATATTTAGAATAGAAAAGAAAAAGTGAAAAATTCTTAGAACATACTGTTAGGTGAAAATGAGACACAAAACAAGAGCCATAGTGTACTATCATTTATATAAATTAAAAACACATCCACACACAACATTGTGAGAGTACTAAACGTCACTGAAATGTGTATTTTAAAACAGCTAATTTTATGTGAATTTGAACTCAATTTTTAAAAAAAAAATTTTTTTAAATACATGCCCATGGACTTCAGGCCAGTCATGATTAAATAGCTTATATCAGGACTCAGTCTCTCACCAAAATCAACAAAAGACAGAAGTACATAAAGTAACTGCTAAAAGACACTGGGAAACAACTGAAATAGGCAGAACCTGATGGGGCTACTATTCAAGAGAAAAAAAGCTGAATAAAGTGAGTTCCACATTTACCCTTGCTTTTTCTTGTGAAGATATGTACCTAAATTCACAGCACAGGGGAATAGAAAGCAGAAGTCCAGGGGGGATAAGGAGCCATAGGTTGGAATGTGAGAAGGCCAAAGCTGTAAGGACCTGAGGTCAATACAGCCCAAAGAGGAGGATGTCGCATGGAAGTGAGCCCTAAAATCCTCGTGCAATTTGCCCTGGGGGAATTTACCAATCCCTAAACTCTGCATACATAAGAAGGATGAGAATCCAAAAGCCTAGCAGACAGCAATAGCTGAGAGGCCAAAGAGCTGAGCAGATACTTTAGCAGCCAGCTGCCTGGTACTGGGAAGATAAGTTGGAATTCAAGGTCAGACAAGGTGAAACTGCCCAGGGATGTACTTCAGGCTTAAAGTAAGACCCCAAAAGGGTTACACTGTAGAAGGGCAAACTGAAGTACAATACAGCACTAAGTCTAAAACTAACAATATGATTAAAATATTCTGCTTGTGCATTAACTGTCTTCCAGAAGATGTTGAATGTAATCCCTGCCCTCAAGGAGCTTACAGACTAGCCAGAGACAGGCAAGTAAATCAGTAATTACCAAACAGTAAAGAAGAGAAAGGGCAGTAATAGAGATTTCCCAGGAACATTTAAATAATAGATATAGATCTGGAAGTCATTTATCATACAAGCGAAAGGTAAATGCATAAATGAGTGTACACACCTGGAGAGAATGTAAAACGAGGAGTCCAAATATAACATTAACCTCCAAGTTTATGCCATTATTGGATAAGATCTAAGGACTTTTTTATATTAAATTATTCCTTAGAATAAATAGTTACAATGAGATACACTAGCATAATTACCTTGGTCATAGCTTGACTTAAGGAACTGCAAATAAAAGATAATAGAATTCCAATCAAAAACAATGGTCTACTGTCAGGAAAACAGCAACGTCTTTTTTACAAAATCCAAAAGAGAAGAGTGTCAGGGTTTAAAATATTTTCTGAGAACATGAACTATAATAAGTATTTTTCAAACTCAAGTGTTTTAATAGAATCTCCACTCCCAAAAGACTCATCACTCAGTTGAGAAGTATTGCTGGCATCAGAAATTACAGCTGAGATAGACACATGAAGTTCAAGGACAAAATTTTGTGAATTCAGCCTCTTATCAGACCTTGATTTAACAAGGTGACAAATGTACTTGTGACAAATAGAATAAATCCTTATTCTTTTACAAATAAAATATAAAACTGTCTCCTTATTTAGCAAACTATTAAAAGAAAAAGTATATTACCTAAATTAAATAGTATTTGGCTTCATAGTCTCTTACTTAAAAAGGAGATGAAACAAAAGAAAATAGAAGCCCTAAAAATATTTTGGCATTTTTAACATATCCCAAAATATAAATTAATTCAGGTAAAGAAATTTGTTTAAAGCTCTGCCACATTCTTTATATCTCAAGTTACACCATTTCAAAATGTCCAGTAAAATGTGACACACAATATGGCACTTATACCTACTTTGATATTCTCTATAGTGCCTAGCACTGAGAATACACTGAATGAATAAATATAACATCTACTTCATAGCAATAATTCAAAGCATACTGAAATATATCTATAAAAGAAAAATTTGCACAATTAATCTCTCTCTTCATCCAGAACATACTTCTTCCTGTCTCCACCTGCCCAAATTCAAATAATCCTTTTCAGTGTAACTCGTGTCTATTCCAATAGGCCCTTATCAGTATCTTCCAATGAAAGTCACCTGGCCCTAAAATGAATCCCTAACGGCACATGGCATATTCAAGTAGGTTTTCTGATCACTCTATGCTTTCTCCATAGATTATGTTATTCCCTCAGACTTCGCTAATTATTAACATGAATGATTCAAATAAATTAAAATCATAGGGTTTACATTTTTACAAATGTAAAAAAAAACCTAGGTGAATGAACTGTTCATTTCTGGTATATATCTTTAAGTGTGGAATAATATTCAATGCATCAATGAATAAAATGTATACATTATACCTTATTCAATGTATATCTTTAAGTGTGGAATAATTAAATAAACCTGTGAAAGAGCATTTTGATCATTTATTAGTCAGTCAACAAATATATATTAAAAATCAACTATATACACTAGACTCAATGCTAAGGATGCAGTGATGAATACTGCAAACTTAGTACCTCTCCTCATAAAGTTTAAAAGTCAAGTTAGCATATCTCCTGCTCCTTTTTAGACAATAATGTCTTAAGAATAGGATTTGGGTCTTATTCAATGTTTATATAATCATTCATATCCCCAAAAGCACCTAAGAACAGTGTCCCTCATTCATGTGTTCAATAATACATCTTATTCAATACATCAATGAATAAAATGTATACATTACACCTTATTCAATGTATATATGATTATTTGGATCCCCAAAAGGGCCTAAGAACAGTGTCCCTCATTCATGTATTAAACAATACATTACCTGAAGACACTTCTCATCAGTATTCAGCACATCTACGCTCTTTAAAACTATCTCCTCCTCCTTAAAACTCTCATCAACCACCCCTTTTCCATTTCCCATTCTAGATTTCCCTTCTCTAAATATTAGAGAACTTTATGGCTCTGTCCTCACTCCTGTCTCATTCCATGCTTTTCTTCCTATAACTGCCTCCCTAAATTAGCTTATAAATTGCAATAAACAATAAACACAATTGCAATAAAAATATCAACATGGTTTTTTACAGAGCTAGACAAACTATTAAAGTTCATATCAATATACAAGAATAGCTAAAAATATATTGAAAAAACACAAACACAGAAGAAATCCAGAAAACACTGAAAAAGAACATTTGCAGGAGTGCCTGATTCTCCACAGCCTCATCAACAGAATGTGTAGCCAGACTTGTAAATTTTTCGTTTGCGGGAAGGTTGCTTGAGTCCAAGTTTGAGACCAGCCTGGGCAACATAGTGAAACCAAAATTGTACAAAAAATACAAAAATTAGCCAGGCATGGTGGCACACACCTGTAGTCCCAACTACTCAGGAGGCTGAGGTGGGAAGATCACTTGAGCCTGGGAAGTCAAGGCTGCAGTGAGCCGTGATCATGCCACTGCACTCCAGCCTGAGTGACAGAGCGAGACCCTGTCTCAAAACTAAAATAAAATACAAATTTAAAATTTTGTGCCAGTTTTGATGAATGAGAAATGGTATCTCAGTGTTATTTTAATTAATGTTTCTCAAGTATGAGTTCCACATTTTTTAATATGTTTGAGGAACATTTCCTGATCTTTTCTGTGTGAATTGTCTGTTGATAACTTTCCTTTAACTTTTCCATCAGGTTTTGGTCCTTTATCCCTTAATTTTTAAGAGGTTGTTATATATCAGGCATACCAGCCCTCTGATATATGTTGTAAGTATTTTATCACAGCTATTTGATAGCTATATTTTGACTTTGTCCACAGTGGCTTTTGCCATGCAACTTTAAAAAACAATTTATGGAGTCAAATTTATCAATATTTTCTTTATAGTAAAGGAAGAACCAAGTAAACCCCAAAGTAAACAGAAGGAAGGATATAAAAAAGACCTGAAATTAATGAAATCTAAAACAGAAAAACCAATGAAACCAAAAGCTGGGTCTTTGAAACAAATCCATGAAACTGACAAACCTCTAGGTAGAGTGATTTTAAAAGACAGAAAAAGAAAACACAGATCACCAATATCAGGAATGAAAGTGGAGACATTACCACAAATTCTACAGACATTAAAGGGATAACAAAAAACTATTATCAACAATTTCATGCCAACAATAAAAAACTTAAGTGAAATGGCAAATTCCGTAATAAATACAACTTAGTAAAACAGACACAAGTAAAATAGAAAATCTGCATAGCCCTATATCTATGTAAGAAATTGTTATCAAAAACCTTCCTTTAAAGAAAATTCTAGGCCCAAATGACTTCATTAGTGAATCTATCAAACATTTACCAATAAATAATATCAAACCTACATAAACTCAGAGATTAGAGAAATTATTTTCCATTTATTTAATGAGCCCAATTTTATGTTAATACAAAAAGGAGAAAAAAATTACAGAGAAAACTACAAACCAATATCCATTAGCACACTGGAAAAAAATCCTTGAAAATATTTTAAAAAATGGATTCAGTAATATGCAAAAAGGATACCGCATCATGACTAAATGGGGTTTATCACAGGAATGAAAGATTTATGTAACATTTTAATAATCAATCAATGTAATCCACTATATTAACAGAATATAAGAGAAAACCCCTATGATTATTTTAAATGATACAGAAGAAAGCATTTGACAAAATCCCACACCCATTCATGATAAACACTTTCAGCAAACTAGAAATAAAAGAGAACTTCCTTAACCTCATAAAGGATATCTATAAGATGCTTAATAGCTAATATCTTATTTAAGTTAAAAGGCTGAATGTTTTCCCACTAAGGTCACAAACAAAACAAAGATGTCTACTCTCACCATTTCTCTTCAACATTGTACAGGACATTCTAGCCAATATAATAAGGCAAGGAAAAAAACAGCATCCGGGTTGAAAAGGAAAAAGTAAAACTATCTTTATCATAGACAAAACCATGTATATAGACAATGCTAAAGAATCTACACAAAAGCTACCAGAACCAACAGGCAATTTAGCAAGGTCACAGGATACAAGAACAATGTGTAAGATTATTCTTACAAGCAATGTACATAGAAGCAATGTAAAATTCCAAATTGAAATTTGAAAAACTACTATTTCTAAAGGCATCCAAAAATATGAACTACTTCAGGATAAATTTAAATTTAACAAGATACATATAAAACAATGAAGACCACAAAATAGTACTCCAAAAATTTAAAGGCCTAAATAACTGGAGAAACATACCATGTTCAGAGATCAACAGACTAAATCTTTTTAAGATCTGATTTCTTCCCAAATTAATCTATAGATGCAATCTCAAAAACAATTCCAGAAGGCGTTTTTTCCATAGGAAGTGACAACTTTATCATAAAACTTATTTAGAAATATAAAAGATGTAGACTATCCTAAGAAATATTGAGAAAATAAAGTTGGAGAAACTGTACTACTTGATTTTAAGACTTACTATAAAGTTATGGTAATTAAGACAGTTTAGTATTGGCTAGAAATAGACATATAAATCAATAGAACAGAATATAGTCTAGAAATAGACCCACATAGGTCAAGCCAACTGATTTTCAACAAAGGTGGCAAGATCATTCAATGAGGGAAAGAACTGTCTTTTCAACAAACAGTGTTGTAACAACTTCCTACTCATATGGAGGAAAAAAAAAAAACCTGACCCTTACCTTGTAGGACTCATAAAACTTAATTTGAAATGGTTCACAGACTCTAAAAGTAAAAAGGATGAGTTCATGTCCTTTGTAGGGACATAGATGAAGCTGGAAACCATCATTCTGAGCAAACGATCGCAAGGACAGAAAACTAAACACCGCATGTTCTCACTCATAGGTGGGAATTGAACAATGAGAACAATTGGACACAGGGTGGGGAACACCACACACCGGGGCCTGTCGTGGGGTGGGGGGAGGGGGGAGGGATAGCACTAAGAGATATACCTAATGTAAATGACTAGTTAATGGGTGCAGCACACCAACATGGCACATGTATACATATGTAACAAACCTGTATATTGTGCACATGTATCCCAGAACTTAAAGTATAATAATAAAAAAAAACAGAAAAAAAAGCAAAAATTATAAAACTTTTAGAAGAAACAGGTGAAAACTCTTCAAAACCTTGAGGAATAAAATAGTTTCTTAATAGGACACAAAAAGAAGGGCCATGAAAGGAAAATCTAGTAAAGTAAACTTCATCAAAATTTAAAACTTCAGCTCTTCTAAAGACAACACTAAACAAAGAAAAAGGAAGAGCATAAACTGGGAGAAAATTATTTGCAATACATATATCTCACCAAGGATTGACATCCTGAATATACAGAGAACTGTTACAACTCAATAATAATACAATTTTTAATGGACAAAATATTTAAACAGACACTATTCAAAAGATCACATGTGAGTGGCCAGTAAACACACGAAAAGACGCTCAAATCTCTAGCCATCACAGAAATGCAAAAGAAAACTATAATGCGATATCACTTCATACCTACAAAACGCTAAAATTAAAATGACTGATAATACCAAATAATTAACAAGGATCTAGGACAATCAGAACTCTCATACATTGCTAGTGGGAATGTAAAATGATACAACCATTTTGAAAAATAGTGTGGCAGTTTCTTAAAAAGTTAAACATATGCTTTTCAGATGACCTAGCAATTCTCCTCCTAGTTATTAAGTGAAACGAAAATACATGTCTGGCTGGGCACAGTGGCTCACGCCTGTAATTCCAGCACTGGGAGGCCGAGGCAGGCGGATCATGAGGTCAGGAGATTGAGACAATTCTGGCTAATATGGTGAAACCCCGTCTCTACTAAAAATATGAAAAATTAGCCAGGCGTGGTGGCATACACCTATATTCCCATCTACTCGAGAAGCTGAGGCAGGAGAATCACTTGAACCCATGCGGCGGAGGTTGCAGTGAGCCAAGATCACACCACTGCACTCCAGCCTGGGTGACAGAGCAAGACTCCGTCTCAAAAAAAATAAAAAAGAAAAAAAAGAAAATATGTGTCTGTGTACAGACATATATGTACACATATTCATAGCAGCTTTATTTATAACAACCTTATTCAAATAATCAAAAGCTGGAAATACACCAAAACCCATCAACAGATAACTGGAAAAACAAATTGTGGTACCTAATACTACTCAGGAATATGTAATTACATGGATAAATCTCAAAAACAAAATGAGTACATACTATATGACTCCATATGAAACTACAGAAAACACTAATCTGTAGTGATATAAAGTGGATAAATGGTATACTGGGGCTATGGGTAGTGGCTGGGATTTACTAGAGTAAGGTACAAGGAAATGCTCCAAAGTGATAGAAATGTTTCATACATTGACTGTGGTAGTAGTTACACAGGTATACAAATTTGTCAAAACTCATCAAAATGTACTCCTAGACTGAATGTACTTTATTATCCATGAATATAGTTTAATATGCATAAATTATACTTCTAAAAAGTTGACTTTTAAAAATTTTTAAAGGAGCTCATTTCTAATGATTTCGTCAATAAATATTAAATGCTACTTTGCTAAAGCATTTTTTAAATTGTAACTAAACCCCAAATAATTTTAATCTCAATTTGCAAAATAATCCACATTTTACAAATCTATAAACAAAAAAAGTTTCAGCATACAAATGCCTTAGAAAGAATTCAATTTGGTCCAATAATTTTATAGCCAGTTTCTTTAATCCATCTTGAATTGATTTTTGTATAAGGTGTAAGGAAGGGATCCAGTTTCAGCTTTCTACATATGGCTAGCCAGTTGTCCCAGAACCATTTATTAAATAGGGAATCCTTCCCCCATTGCTTGTTTTTCTCAGGTTTGTCAAAGATCAGACAGTTGTACATATGCGGCGTTATTTCTGAGGGGTCTGTTCTGTTCCATTGATCTATATCTCTGTTTTGGTAACAGTATCATGCTGTTTTGGTTACTGTAGCCTTGTAGTATAGTTTGAAGTCAGGTAGTGTGATGCCTCCAGCTTTGTTCTTTTGGCTTAGGATGACTTGGCGATGCGGGCTCTTTTTTGGTTCCATATGAACTTTAAAGTAGTTTTTTCGAATTCTGTGAAGAAAGTCATTGGTAGCTTGATGGGGATGGCATTGAATCTGTAAATTACCTTGGGCAGTATGGCCATTTTCACGATATTGATTCTTCTTACCCATGAGCATGGAATGTTCTTCCATTTGTTTGTATCCTCTTTTATTTCCTTGAGCAGTGGTTTGCAGTTCTCCTTGAAGAGGTCCTTCACATCCCTTGTAAGTTGGATTCCTAGGTATTTCATTCTCTTTGAAGCAATTGTGAATGGCAGTTCACTCATGATTTGGCTCTCTGTTTGTGTGTTGTTGGTGTATAAGAATGCTTGTGATTTTTGTACATTGATTTTGTATCCTGAGACTTTGCTGAAGTTGCTTATCAGCTTAAGGAGATTTCGGGCTGAGACAATGGGGTTTTCTAGATATACAATCATGTCGTCTGCAAACAGGGACAATTTGACTTCCTCTTTTCCTAACTGAATACCCTTTATTTCCTTCTCCTGCTTAATTGCCCTAGCCAGAACTTCCAACACTATGTTGAATAGGAGTGGTGAGAGAGGGCATCCCTGTCTTGTGCCAGTTTTCAAAGGGAATGCTTCCAGTTTTTGCCCATTCAGTATGATATTGGCTGTGGGTTTGTCATAGATAGCTCTTATTATTTTGAAATACGTCCCATCAATACCTAATTTATTGAGAGTTTTTAGCATGAAGGGTTGTTGAATTTTGTCAAAGGCCTTTTCTGCATCTATTGAGATAATCATGTGGTTTTTGTCATTGGTTCTGTTTATATGCTGGATTACATTTATTGATTTGCGTATATTGAACCAGCCTTGCATCCCAGGGATGAAGCCCACTTGATCATGGTGGATAAGCTTTTTGATGTGCTGCTGGATTCGGTTTGCCAGTATTTTACTGAGGATTTTTGCATCAATGTTCATCAAGGATATTGGTCTAAAATTCTCTTTTTTGGTTGTGTCTCTGCCCAGCTTTCGTATCAGGATGATGCTGGCCTCATAAAATGAGTAAGGGAGGATTCCCTCTTTTTCTATTGATTGGAATAGTTTCAGAAGGAATGGTACCAGTTGCTCCTTGTACCTCTGGTAGAATTCGGCTGTGAATCTGTCTGGTCCTGGACTCTTTTTGGTTGGTAAGCTATTGATTATTGCCACAATTTCAGCTCCTGTTATTGTCTATTCAGAGATTCAACTTCTTCCTGGTTTAGTCTTGGGAGAGTGTATGTGTCGAGGAATTTATCCATTTCTTCTAGATTTTCTAGTTTATTTGCATAGAGGTGTTTGTAGTATTCTCTGATGGTAGTTTGTATTTCTGTGGGATTGGTGCTAAACGTTAGACCTAAAAGCATAAAAACCCTAGAAGAAAACCTAGGCATTACCATTCAGGACATAGGCATGGGCAAGGACTTCATGTCTAAAACACCAAAAGCAATGGCAACCAAAGCCAAAATTGACAAATGAGAGCTAATTAAACTAAAGAGCTTCTGCACAGCAAAAGAAACTACCATCACAGTGAACAGGCAACCTACAAAATGGGAGAAAATTTTCACAACCTACTCATCTGACAAAGGGCTAATATCCAGAATCTACAATGAACTCAAACAAATTTACAAGAAAAAAACAAACAACCCCATCAAAAAGTGGGCAAAGGACATGAACAGACACTTCTCAAAAGAAGACATTTATGCAGCCAAAAAACACATGAAAAAATGCTCACCATCACTGGCCATCAGAGAAATGCAAATCAAAACCACAATGAGATACCATCTCACACCACTTAGAATGGCAATCATTAAAAAGTCAGGAAACAACAGGTGCTGGAGAGGATGTGGAGAAATAGGAACACTTTTACACTGTTGGTGGGACTGTAAACTAGTTCAACCATTGTGGAAGTCAGTGTGGCCATTCCTCAGGGATCTAGAATTAGAAATACCATTTGACCCAGCCATCCCATTACTGGGTATATACCCAAAGGACTATAAATCATGCTGCTATAAAGACACATGCACATGTATGTTTATTGCGGCATTATTCACAATAGCAAAGACTTGGAACCAACCCAAATGTCCAACAATGATAGACTGGATTAAGAAAATGTGGCACATATACACCATGGAATACTATGCAGCCATAAAAAATGATGAGTTCATGTCCTTTGTAGGGACATGGATGAAATTGGAAATCATCATTCTCAGTAAACTATCGCAAGGACAAAAAACCAAACACCGCATATTCTCACTCATAGGTGGGAACTGAACAATGAGAACACATGGACACAGGAAGGGGAACATCACACTCTGGGGACTGTTGTGGGGTGGGGGGAGGGGGGAGGGATAGCATTGGGAGATATACCTAATGCTAGATAATGAGTTAGTGGGTGCAGCGCACCAGCATGGCACATGTATACATATGTAACTAACCTGCACATTGTGCACATGTACCCTAAAACTTAAAGTATAATAATAATAAATTTAAAAAAAAAATTTATAGCCAGTTTCTAGGATAAAGTCATATTTATAATTTTCTGTCCAGATTTTTAATAAAAATCAGTAATGTTAAATGGAACACTATCACTTTATAGAGAAATATTATGAAATTATATTGAGAAATGAGAATAGTCATTAAACATTAAGATTTTATTGCAACCCAGGCATTATATATTTCTTTACACTTAAGGAATAGATATTAAACAACCTTGGAGTAAAAAATAGAAGGCGACTTGCTTCAAGTTTGTACCAAGTCGATCAAGCAGAAACCTGAAGAACCTTGTTTTAAGATGAGAGGCATTTATACTCGGCAAGCATTTTCTTCTAATGAAAAAATAAAGTCAATGTGCCACTATCTTGACACTTATAAAAATGTTTATAAAAAGCATTTAGGACATTGATTCTCACAGTTGGCTGAATACTGGAATCACCTAGATTAAAAGAAATACTAATCCCTAGACAACATCCCTAAAATTCAGATTTAATTAGTATAAGTTAGGCCCTGGGCATATAGGCTGTTTTAAAACTCCTCGGGTGAGTCTAATGTGCACCAATTTGAAAACCACTAGCTTAGAGACCTGTTCCATCATCATAGAAGTCAGTCTTAGGCTGAATGATTCTATATGCCCTGATTGCAGTAGGTAATGTTGTTATTTTAAGCATCTGATAGGTGTATCTCCCTTGATTAAAAATAAATACCTTACAGAAGAGATTATATGTTTTATTTATCACTGTCTCCGCATATCTGGAACAATGAAAGGCACATAGCAGTTGCTAAATAAGTATCTTTTAAATGAATATATGATTGCCTTATACTTCTTTTACGTCCCCATCTTCTAATAGATTATGCAAATTAGAATTCAAAACATATATATATTAAACAAATGAATGACTGAAGCAGTTGGGGATAATATTTAAGGCAAAACCAAATCTGATAAAATATACACATATTTTAAAAACACATACATATATATAAATAGATCAAAAGTGGAAAAAGAATATACAAAAGAGTGCAACATTTGGCAGCTGAGAATTATCTCACTGAGTTTTCAAATATTCTTCACATTCTTATACTTAGAAACAAAGAAGTAACCCCAAACAACTAATTCATTAGCTAATATCTCAGAACTTGCACATATGCAGATAAATTTTCTTTTAAAAACAGAATTATAGTTTAATCTTGATGAACATAGCTCAATTTTGAAAATTCAAGCAAATAAAATTTTAGCACATATCATGATAGCCTTACTGGATAGCTGTGTTAAAAACAAAAAGTATTTGGTATCACCTATTGTTACGTGTTCTCAGTTGAGATCTAGTTAGTCTCCTAGGAGTCTCACATTGATAAACAACTATTTTGGTACTTCCTTACATAATGTGCTTATTTAGAAATACCTTATTAATAACAGACTTCCTTTTGATTAGCTACATTCTCAGATATGGCTTCATTTATCAAAGTTCCACAAGTATTACATAATTTTTAATTCAGTTAGTATCTTAGACTACAAAACTTTGGTTTTCTTAAAATCAGCATTGGTTGCTTGATTGTAGGTTTGTCACCAAAAAGTGCTGCTTCAATCTCCGTGGTTGGAAATCTTTTCTGATATATCAAGGGGTATTCCTTCTGAAACTGTTTTAGTTTTTTTCTTTTCTCCTTTAGAGGTAAACTCTTGTTTTTAATAACATTTTCTATAAGTTCTGTAACTGCAGCTTGAGAGGTAGAAACTTTTTGCTTTTCAAAGTCCTGAGCACTAATCTGCTTACAGTATGAATAAGTTGGCAAAGGAACAAATAGTCCATCTCCAGGATTTTCAATATGTCCCTTTTTTAAGTATTCAAGATGTTTTTCCACTGCAGTCTGTAAATAAGTTGGTACTTGAAGAATTTCCTGATGATGATCCAGTAAGAAAGAAACTAATCTTCCAGCCAGAAGCTTATCAAGATCCACTTTTTCAGCACAGCATAGCACACATCGAGAAAAGGTATGTATCATCGGTGATTTCATGCCCATTGCATCATGAAGTTTGGACATATCAACATTTTGACTCATTTGGGAAATCATACGCATTAAAAGTTGAAGCTTTCTACAATTTGGTGGCGGAAGTAACAAACGACACAATTGTAGCGCATCGATGGCAACCCTCTCTAAATGAGGTTGCAGCAAACTTCGTGTACCAGTCAACACAGAAGAAGCTGGAAGTAAAGAATTTTCTGAAAATTCTATTGAACTTTTGCAGAGTCTTTTATTGATTGCAGCACTAGACTCTCCGAGTTCACTTTGCATAGCTGTTTGCACACTTGTGCTGCTTTGTCCAACATTTGGTTTCATGATCATTTCAGCCACTGGTGTGTTGATACAACTATTCCTTCTTGTACTACTTCTTAAAAGCAAACTCTGAGACCTACAAAGCTGTTTTGACTTGCATTTCCCATTACACAACTCCTCTTGGTCTTGAGCAGTCAAAGTAGTGGTTCTCTTAAAACCAGCACGGAATGGCTTTTGAATATTTTCCTCTGAATGAAGATTCAACAGGAATTCCTGTTTGGGCTTAGACTCTAAAAACAGTTTAGTATTTTGTCCTTCTATGTTTGGAAAAGATTGATGCCTCTTTACACTGGATGCCTCTTTACTTGAATTCCCTGACACATCTACAATTCCTTCCAAAGAACAGCAACTTGGTTTGCTATTAGAGGACAGATCATGCATACCACTTAACCCTATTAAATTATGACAGCTTCCTCCCATTATGTCATTAGCACTCACTCCTCTGTTTCTTAAATTAACTAGCTGCATTTTCTTAGCACATCTTTCTTGAAATCCTGGATTGCTTATCCGTAGTCTCTCAGTAGAATCTTATTCTTCTTTTTTCTCTATGAAGCAGACTGAGAAGAAGGCACTCCATTGATTTGAAGGAATTCAAATTGTGAAGGAATTTTTAAGACTGTGGATCATCTTGGATTCTATGTATCCCACTGGATCTATCTGAAACTATGACATAGCCACAAACAACCAAAATGTTCACAAATAATTCATAATATTCAAAAGTAAGGAGAGGTTCAAGGAGATCTAGAAAATAATCTGTGATTGTGCTGAATATATCTTGTTCAAATCCAACATAAGTTGGATTATTCGTATCATCACTTCTTGGCCAATTTGCTAGGCACTTCATGGCAGATAATACCCAGTGAGGGAGGTCATCTGATTTGTTTTGTAGTGTAACTACTCCATGTTTACTTGTATTGGCCATGTTGTACATTATATATTGGGGAATTACTTGTTTTGGATTTATGACTTCTTCTAGGGATGGCACACCTAAAATGGTTTGCAGGTAGATCAGAATAACATATCTCCAAATTTCTTCAACATCTTCCTGGCTTAGTTTTCTATTATCAACTGCATTTTCTTGATCTTCATTGATTATTTCATGCTTTATTTTCTCGGAATTTTCCTGAGATAAATGTAATCCATGCTTTTTAGGAGTTCTATGAGATAAGTTTCATCATTTAAAAATACTATCTTTATCTTTGGAAAAGTTCTCTATGTTGTTTTTTCTCAATTCTGGATGTCTTCGTGGCAGAGTTTTAAATGGCTAAGTTGCAGGAAATCTGAAGAGCTGGTTAGTACCATCAACATTTTCTGATCCCCACCTGCCTTTGATATCTTCAATTACATGATTCTTAAGAAATTTCCTCAACAGTTGGATAGTCTGTTGTCTTGTAACTTTAGGACCAAAACTGTTATTATTTCTTAATAGGTCATAAAGCCAATCCACTGCTTCTCCTGCTGTGAAACAACTGCCATATTTTTTAAAGTGTTGTCTGTGTTTTCTTAGAGGCATTCCTGCTCGAAAAGATGTGGTAATTTCATTCCATAAGTAGCAGAATCCATGTAAGATCGCCATACCAGGAAGATCTGAATTCTAGCTCTGCCACTTGCTGTAGATGTGTCTTTAGAAGGATTTAACGTCTGTGAGCCTCAGTGTCCACACTGGTAAAGTAGGACGAATAATACATGCCCGCCTGAAGGGCATTCCAGTTTGGTGGCCAGATAAGGCCTGGGAGGCACACCCCAACTCTCCATAGGTCTGTCAGTGCCCACTGGCGTCCATGGCAGCGAAGGCAACACTCAGGCCCAGCGGCCTGGGCAGTGGCGAGTCTCAGCACAACCACTGGCCCTGCCGCCGATTTGAATAGCATCTGCTAAAGAATTTTTTTAAAGTGGTTCTGATAAAGTTGTGCCCCGTACCATACCTTGGGAAACACTGCTGTTGGTTATACCTAAAAATAGAGTTAACAAGTCACAAGATACGTGGATCTTCAACCTTGTCAGATATTGCCAAACTGCTCTCCCAAGTTTTATTCCTGTTTATACTCCCTCCAAATCCCTTTAAAATAGTTTATACTCTTCATCTTCACTTTTTTATTCACCTCAATTGATTACAATCATTTTTCTATCCCTTACCAGTCCACTGAAATTGCTTTTACTAAGGTCACCAAGTATCTCTTAATTTCGAAACCCAACAGCCTCTTTTCAGTTTTAGTCATTCTTTACCGTTCCTTATGCTTTATTTCACAACAGCTCTATTTCACAATTACTCCTTTTACTGAGCAGCCAATAGATAACCCACACTTCTCAGTGTTTTTTCAAATAATTTTTATTTTTAAATATTTTTAAAATATTGGTGTAGATGTGTTGAAAAGGGAACACTTTTACACTGCTGGTGGGAATATAAACTAGTACAATCACTATGGAAAACAGTATGGAGATTCTTCAAAGAACTAAAAGTAGAACTACCATTTGATCCAGTAATCCCACAACTGGGTATCTCCACAAAGTAAAAGAAGTCATTATATGAAAAAGACACTTGCAAACTCATGTTTATAGCACAATTAGCAATTGCAAAAATATGGAACCAGCCTAAATGCCCATCAACCAACAAGTAGATAAAGAAAATGTGGTATGTATACACCATGGAATACTAATCAGCCATAAAAAGGAACAAAATAATAAAATAATGGCATTTGCAGCAACCTGGATGGAGTTGAAGACCATTATTCTAAGTGAAGTAACTCAGAAATGAAAAGCCAAATATCATATGTTCTCTATAAGTGGGAGCTAAGCTGTGAGGATGCAAGGGCATAAGAATGATACAATGAACTTTGAGGACTTGGGGGGAAGGGTGGGAGAGAGATGAAGGACAAAAGACTACACATTGGGTACAGTATACACCGCTCAGGTGACAGGTGTACCAAACTCAGAAATTAGCACTAAAGAACTTATCCATGTAACCAAAAAAACACCTGTCCCCCAAAAACTATTGAAATAAAATTTAAAAGATAAAAAAATCATTATGATTATCAAATATATTATCAGTATCAGTAAAATCTAAATGGGATTTAGGCAAATGAATTAGTTAAAAATGAATATTCTATTTAGAAACTGGTGGATATACTTTATAATTAGGAAAATGTTGAGAAATATTATAAGAGATGTTCAACATTGTACGTTTTCCTATTTTTAAATATCTTTATTATTATTACATTGCAGTATGGTGTTTAAGTTTGGGTGTTAAAATACAGAACTTTACATCCAGCAACAATTGTAAGAAAAATTATCATTTTTATTCCACAAATTAGACTATGAACAAAAATTGATGCTGTAACTCAAGAAAATGTAAGATACCAGTGCTATTTATTCTTACCAAACCCATAATACACATTCATTTTCTTTAAAGATTAAAGTTAGAAACTCAAAAATAATACAGCTCCCACCCATTCAGCAAACTAGGAGTAGAAGAAAACTTCCTACTCTGCTAAAAGTCATCTAGGAAAAACCCACAGCCAACATTATACTTAATAGTGAAATACCAAATGCTTTCTCCCTAAGATCAAGAAAAAGACAAGAATGCTCATTCTCTCCATTTCTATCAACACTATACTGAAGGTTCTAGCCAGGACAACTGGGCAAGAAAATTAAAGACATGCAGATTGAAAAGTAAAGAGTAAAATTATCTCTATCTGCAGATGCCATAATCCTGCATATAGAAAATCCTAAGGAATCTACCTTCTATTTTATTATTTATTTATTTGTTTTTTGAGACAGAGTCTGGCTCTGTTGCCCAGGCTAGAGTGCAATGGCGCGATCTCGGCTCACTGAAACCTCTGTTTTTGTATTTTTAGTAGATAGGATTTCACCATGTTGGCCAGACTGGTCTTGAACTCCTGACCTCTAGAGATCTGCCAACCTTGGCCTCCCAAAGTGCTAGGATTACAGGCATGATCCACCATGCTCAGCCAGGAATCTGCCTTTTAAAACATCTATTAGAACTAATAAATGAGTTCAGCAAGGTTGCAGGATACAAAATCAATATACAAATATCAATTGTATTTCTACATATTTGTAATAAACAGCCTGGAAGTGAAATTTTAAAACAATTGTATTTAGTATAAAATCAAAGAAGAATAAAATACTTAGGTATAAATTTAACAAAAAAAGTGTAAGACTTGTATATTGAAAACAAAGATGGCCCAACTAAATCAAAAGAACTCTTGTGTTAATGAATTGGAAACCTTATTGTTAAGATGGCAATTATTCTCAAGTCAATTTACAGATTTAAAGCAATCCCTATCAAAATAAGAGCTGGCTTCTTTGCAGAAACTGTGAAGTTGTTCCTAAAGTTCATATGGCAATGGTAGTGATCCAGAATAGTCAAACAATTCTGAAAAAGAACAACAAACTCAGAGGAGTCACACTTCTTTTTTATTATCTATTTTTCTTCATTCTTCAACTTTTATTTAACATCGGGGTACATGTACAGGATGTGCAGGTTTGTTACACAGGTAAATGTGTGTCATGATGGACTGCTGCACAGATCATCCCATCACACAGGTATTAAGCCCAGCATCCATTAGCTATTTTTCTGATGCTCTCCCTCCCTCCACCTCCCCGACAGGCCCTAGTGTGTGTTAGGGAGGAGTCTCTCCTTTTCAATATTTTGGACTAGATTCAGTAGAATGGTACCAGCAATTCTTTGTACCTCTGGTATAATTCAGCTGTGAATCCATCTGGTCCTGGGCTTTTTTTGGTTGGTAGGCTATGTATTACTGCCTCAATTTAAGAACTAATTACTGGTCTATCTGGAGATTCAACTTCTTCCTGGTTCAGTCTTGCAAGGGTGTATGTGTCCAGGAACTTATCCATTTCTTCTAGATTTTCTAGTTTATTTGCATAGAGGTGTTTCTAGTATTCTCTGCTTATAGTATATAGTACAGTATTCTCTATATAGATGGTTGTTTGTATTTCTGTGGGGTCAGTGTTATCATTTCTGATTGTGTTTATTTGATTCTTCTCTGTTTTTCTTTATTAGTCTAGCTAGTAGTCTATTTATAAACGTTTTCCAAAAACCAGCTCATGGATTTGTTGATTTTTTTGAAGGGCTTTTTGTGTCTCCATCTCCTTCAGTCCAACTCTGATCTTGATTATTTCTTGTCCTCTGCTAGCTTTGGGGTTTCCTCTTGGTTCTCTAGTTCTTTCAGTTGAGGTGATAGGTTGTTAACTTGAGATCTTTCTAGGTTTTTATGTGGGCATTTAGTGCTATAAATTTCCCTCTTAACACTGCCTTAGCTGCATCCCAGAGTTTCTGGTATGCTGTCTCTTTGTTCTCATTAGTTTCAAACAACTTCTTGATTTCTGCCTTAATTTCATTAATTACCCAAGAGTCGTTCAGGAGCAGGTTGTTCAATTTCCATGAAGTTGTCTGGTTTTGAGTGCATTTATTAGTCTTGAGTTCTAATTTGATCTGTGGTCTGAGAGACTGTTATTATTTCAGTTCTTTTACATTTGCTGAGGAGTGTTTTACTTCCAATTATGTGGTCAGTTTTATATTAAGTGCTGTGTGGCAATGAGAAGAATGTACATTCTGTTGCTTTTGAGTGGAGAGTTCCGTAGATATCTATCAGCTCTGCTTGATCCAGAGCTGAGGTCAGGTCCTGAATATCTCTGTTAATTTTCTGTCTCAATGATCTAATATTGTCAGTAGGGTGTTAAAGTCTCCCACTATTATTGTGTGGAAGTCTAGGTCCCTTTGTAGATCTCTAAGGACTTGCTTTATGAATCTGGGTGCTCCTGTATTGGGTTCATATATATTTAGAATCCTTTACCATTATGCAATGCACTTCTTTGTCTTTTTTTACCTTCATTAGTTTTAAAGTCTGTTTTGTCTGAAACTAGGATTGCAACCCTGCTTTTCTCTGTTTTCCATTTGCTTGGTAAATTTTCCTCCATCCCTTTATTTTGAGCCTATGTGTGTCTTTGCATGGAATATGGGTTTCTTGAAGACAGAATACTGATGGGTCTTGGCTCTTTATCCAGCCTGCCATTCTGTGTCTTTAAATTGGGGCCTCTAGCCCATTTATATTTAAGGTTAGTATTGTTGTTATGTAAATTTGATCCTATCATCATGATGCTAGCTGGTTATTTTGCAGACTTGTTTATATGGTTGCTTCATAGTGTCACTGGTCTGTGCTTCAGTGTGTTTTTGTAATGGCTGGTAATGGTTTTTCCTTTCCATATTTAGTGCTTCCTTCAGGAGCTCTTGCAAAGCAGGCCTGGTGGTCATGAATTCCCTCGGCATTTGCTTGTCTGAAAAGGATCTTATTTCTCCTTCAATTATGAAGCTTAGTTTGGCTGGATATGAAATTCTGGGTTGGAAATTCTTTTCTTTAAGAATATTGAATATTGGCCCCCAATCTCTTCTGGCTCGTAGGGTTTCCACTGAGAGGTCCACTGTTAGTCTGCTGGGTTTCCCTTTGATGGTGACCTGGTTTTTCTCTCTGGCTGCCCTTAACATTTTTTCTTTCATTTCGACCTTGGAGAATCTGATGATTATGTGTCTTGGGGTTGAACTTCTCATGGAGTATCTAACTGGGTTCCCTGGATTTCCTGAACTTGAATGTTGGCTTGTCTTGTTAGGTGGGGGAAGTTCTCCTGGATGATATCCTGAAGTATGTTTTCCAACTTGGTTCCATTCTCCTCGTCTCTTTCAAGTACTCCAATCATAGGTTCTGTCTCTTTACATAATCCCCTATTTCTCAGAGATTTTGTTCATTCTTTTTCATTATTTTTTCTCTATTTTTGTCTGCCTGTCTTATTTCAGAAAGATAGTCTTCAAGCTCTGAGCTGCTTTCCTCTGCTTCATGTATTCTGCTGTTGATACTCGTGATTGCATTGTGAAGTTCTCATGTTGTGTTTTCCAGTTCCATCAGGTCAATTATGTTCCTCTCTAAACTGGCTATTCTAGCTATCAGCTCCTTTATCGTTTTATCATGATTCTTAGCTTCTTTCCATTGGGTTAGAACATGCCCCTTTAGCTCAGTGAAGCTCATTATTACTCACCTTCTGAAGCCTACTTTTGTCAAGTCAGGCATCTCAGCCTCAGCCTAGTTCCATGCCCTTGCTGCAGAGATGTTGCAATCATTTTGGGGAGAAGAGGCACTCTGGCTTTTTGAGTTTTCACCATTTTTGCATTCTTTCTCATCTTTGTGGGCTTATCTACCTTTGATCTTTGAAGTTGCTGACTTCTGAATGGGGTTTTTGTGGGGCCTTTTTTGTTTATGTTGTTGTTGTTTTCTGTTTGTTTTTAACAGTCAGGCCAGTCTACCACAGGGTTGCTGCGGTTTGCTGAGGGTCCACTCCAGACCCTTGTTACCTTGGTTTTTCCCAAACCTGGAGGTATCATCAGTGATGGCTATGAAACAGCAAAGATGGCAGCCAGCTCCTTCCTCTGGAAGCTCTGCCCCAGGTGGGTTCTGACCTGCTGCCAGACCGAACACACCTGTAGGAGGTGGTTACAGATCCCTGTTGGGAGGTCTCACCCAGTCAGGAGGAACAGGATCAGGGACCCGCTTAAAAAAGCAGTCTGGCTGCTTTTTGGTAGAGGTGTGCTGCACTGGGGGAGACCTTCCTTGTCTGAACCATTTGGGCATTCCAAAGCCGGCAGCCTAGAATGGATGAGTCAACTGAGTCACAGAGATGGTGACTGCCCCTCCCTCTGGGAGCTCCATCCCAGGGAGAGATGGAGAACCCTGGCTGGAATGGATGAAGTCCCCGTAGGGAGGTCCTCTCCAGTGAAGAGGAATGGATCATGGCCCGGCTTAAAAAAACAGTCTGGTAATGATCTAGCAAAGCAGCTGTGCTGCATTGTGGGGAAACTCTTTCTCATCTGTAACATTTGTATTCTCCAAAGCCAGCAGACTACAGCAGCTGAGTCTACCAAACCACAAAAATGGCGGCCACTCCTCCCCCTGAGAGCTACGTCCCAATAGAACCCTTCTGAAGTGGCTAAAGGCCCCACAGGAAGGTCCTGCCCAGTGAGGAGGAATGAATCAGGGTCCTGCTTAAAGAAGCAGTCTGGCCATGATCTGCCAAGGCAGCTGTGCTGCATTGTGGGGGACCCTTCCTCATCTGGACTGTTTGTATTCTCCAAAGCTGGCAGGCTGGAACGGCTGAGTCTACCAAACTGCATAGATGCCAGCCGCCCCTCCCCCCAGGAACTCAAGACCTGTCTCAGACATATTCCAGCCTATTGCTGTTGGCAGGCTGGAACCCAAGCCAGTGGGTCTTAAATTATGAGATGCCATGGAAGTGGGGCCTGCAGCACAATGCTGCTTGGTTCCCTGGATTCAGCCCTCTTCCTAGGAATATGTACGGATGGATTTCCTCACTTGCTAAGGACTCCAGGGCCAGAGTATATAAACTCCTGGGTCTCTGTGTATGACTGAGCAGCTGCTCTGCCAAAACTCCACACAGCTGTGTGTATTGGACCCAAGACCCTGGTGGCATGGGCTCACGATGGGATTTCCTGATCTACGGGTCGCAAAGGTCCATGAGAAAAGCGTGGTTCCCTGGGCAAGGTTGCATAATCACTCACTGCTTCCCTTGGCTGGCAATGGGGGTTCCTTTGGCCCCATGCTGCTCCCAGGTGGGCCATGGTCCCCCACCCCACTGCTTTTCTTCCTTCTCCATGGGTTAAGCTGTCTGCCTAGACAGTCCCAATGCAAGAACTTGGCTATTTCAGTTGAAGGTGCTGAATTCACTTGCCCCTTTTCACTTCTCTCCATGAGTGCCATGGACCACAGCTGCTTCTAATCAGCCATCTTGGATCCTACCAGAGTCACACGTCTTGATTTCAAAACTAACTACAATGCTACAACAATTAAGACGTAATGGTAATAGCATAAGGACAGGCACACATATGGATGGAATAAAATTGAGAATCTAGAAATAAACCCTCAAATTTACAGTCAACTGATTTTTGACAAGATTGTAAAGGCAATTCACAAAGGAAAAGAACGGTTTTTACAATAAATAGTGCTCAGACAACTATATATCCACATGAGAAAACTTGGACTGTTCGTCATACCATACACAAAATTTAACTCAAAACAGATCATAAAAACTAAATACAAGAGCTAAAACTATAAAACTCTTGAAGAAAATATAGAGGTAAATCTTCATGACCTTAGATTTGGCAACGGTTTCTTAGCTATGACACACAAAGAATACATAATAAAAGAGAAAATAGGTAAATTGGACTCATAAAAAAAATGTGTGTTTTTTGTTTTTTGTTTTTTGAGACAGAGTCTTTCTCTGTTGCCCAGGCTTGAGTGCAGTGGCACAATCTCATCTCACTGCAGCCTCTGCCTCCCTGGTTCAAGTGATTCTACTGCCTCAGCCTCCTGAGTAGCTGGGATTACAGGCGCGCACAACTAATTTTTATATTTTTAGTAGAGATGGGGTTTCACCATGTTGGCTAGTCTGGTCTCAAACTCCTGACCTCAGGTGATCTGCCCACCTCAGCTTCCCAAAGTGCTGGGATTATAGGTGTGAGCCACTGTGCCCGGCCTTCAACAAAATTTTACCAGTTTGTGCTTCTAAGGGCACTATCAGTGAAAAAAAAAACTTACAGAATGGAAGAAAATATCTGCAAATCATTAAGTCTGGTAAGATTCTAGTATCCAAAATATGAAAAGAATTTTACAACTCAACACTAAAACAAAATATAAATTGAAAATGGGCAAATGATCTGACTAGATATTTTCCCAAAGAAGATATACAAATACCTAACAAGCACAAAAAAGATACTCAGATGTACATCAAAACCACAGTGAGATGCCACTTCACACCCACTAGGGTGGCTATAATAAAAAAGACAATAATATGCGCTAGTAATGGTGTGGTGAAATTGGAAATCTCACACATTGCTGGTGGGAATATAAAAAGATAAAGCCACTTTGGAAAACAATGCATCAGTTCCTCAAAAGGATAAACAGAATTAACATATGGCCTAAAAATTCCATTCACAGATGATATACTCAAGAGAAATGAATCACATGTCCACACAAAAATTTTTACATGAATGTTCACAGCTCATTATCCATATTAGCCAAAAAGTGACACAATCAAAATGTCCATCAACTGATGAATGGATAAATAAAATGGCCTATAGCTGGAAGTATTGGGGAAAATGTGAAATGACTTCTAAAGAATACGATGTTTCTTTTTGGAGTGATAAAAATGTTCTAATACTGATTTGTAGTGATAATTGCACAAATCCATGAATATACTAAAAAACTATTCAATTATACAGTTTAAGTGCATTGTATGATATGTGATATGGTTTGGCTCAAACCATACATCACTCATATCTCCACTCTCAAATCTCACCTTGAATTGTACAAGGGCGGGGCCAGATGAAGGTAACTGAATCATGAGGGTCTTTCCTGTGCTGTTCTTGGGATAGTAAGTCTCACGAAATCTGATGGTTTTATAAATGGGAGTTCCCCTGCACAAGCTCTCTTGCCTGCCACCATGTAAGATGTGCCTTTGCTCCTCCTCCACCTTCCACCATGATTGTGAAGCCTCCCCAGCCATGTGGAAATGTGAGTCCCTTAAACTTCTTTTTCTTTATAAATTACCCAGTATCAGGTATGTCTTTATTAGCAGCATGAGAACAGACTAACACAGTATGGAAAATATATCTCAATAAAGCTGTTAGAAAAAAATATACACGGCTCAACATTTGAGGACTGGAAGAGACTACATGTGAAGAGATTTTGCCTCCAATATTTGTTACCTGAATTACAGCCACAGATCATCTCCAATTCAGAGACTACTGAAACAAAAATAAATGATTCACACAGTGACTTCATTCTAAGACACATATTTATATAATCTATCCTGTTTTCCTTTTAAAAATCCTGTAGATAAGTTTTTAGCCAAAAATATCTAGTCTAAAACAGAGGTGGCCATAAAATTTTCTAGACTTAAATAATAATCTTATTACAAAATCAATTGTCTACTTGCGAATAGGGAACAATACTTAATCATGGTATGAACAGTCAGAATTAGCCTCATGATACAGCTGCAAACAAAATTCGTAAGATACATGAGATACAGTGACAGAAAGACATGCATCCTCTCCAATCCTCTCAACAATCATACAATGAAGATGAGAAAATCAGGATTCAGAGACATTAAGTGGCTTGCCTATTCAGGGACTAGGCAGCAAAACTGGGATTTGAACCCAAGACTGCCTGTCTCTAACCTATCTTCAGGAAGGAATAAAGCTTCCAACCAGGCAATAGTAATAGAAAAGAATGACTACAAATATGTCCTAATATAAAATATTTGAAATTTTAGAGCTTAAAGGAAATTCAGAGAATATCTATCTCAAGTGCCTCATTTTACAAATGAGACAGTATCATCTTCGCAGTCTCTGATCAGCCTTGGCTATTTCCACTACTCTGTCTTCTCCAATATACTACTAGGCTATCTGCCACTGTGTCCTGATAGCCCTAGCATAAAGCAAATGAGAAATCACAGAAAAGCTAAGTTTCAGAAAGTCATGGATGTGCTGAGTAAAGCTCCCCAAATTATTCCTCTTAGATAATAATAATAAATAAATGTTCCTCTTACTTGCCCAGCATGCAAAATTGTATCAAAGGGGAATAGTTATACAGGATTTGTAATAATTATAGGTACTTTGAATTCTTACCTTTGTGGCCACAATAAAGATGGTATAAAGGAACATAAGATTATGCTTTGATATTGCCAGATGCTGGGTGTGCTGGAATGTGAAGATAACTGACCCCAGCAGGGTTACCTTGGCAGGGCTGAAAATAAAACACATTTTAAATCAGCAAGTAATAAATATGACATATCTCTAACTTTCTCAAAGAGTGCACTGCAAAACATTAACTTAATGGGTTATTAATAGATGTAATGCAAAAATGAGTTTTGTTAAAACACTTTAAAAAGTGTTGAAAGTGCTGAGTTACAGGATTAAGAAACTCACTCAAAACTGCTCAAATACATGGAAACTGAACAACCTGCTCCTGAATGACTACTGGGTGCATAACAAAATGAAGGCAGAAATAAAGATGTTCTTTGAAACCAACGAGAACAACGACACAACATACCAGAATCTCTGGGACACATGTAAGGCAGTGTGTAGAGCGAAATTTATAGCACTAGGTGCCCACAAGAGAAAGCAGGAAAGATCTAAAATTGACACCCTAACATCACAATTAAAAGAACTAGAGAAGCAAGAGCAAACACATTCAAAAGCTAGCAGAAGGCAAGAAATAACTAAGATCAAAGCAGAACTGAAGGAGATAGAGACACAAAAAACCCTTCAAAAAATCAATGAATCCAGGAGCTGTTTTTTTGAAAAGATCAGCAAAATTGATAGACCGCTAGCAAGACTAATAAAGAAGAAAAGAGAGAAGACTCAAATAGACGCAATAAAAAATGATAAAGGGGATATCACCACCGATCCCACAGAAATACAAACTACCATCAGAGAATACTATAAACACCTCTACACAAATAAACTAGAAAATCTAGAAGAAATGGATAAATTCCTCGACACATACACTCTCCCAAGACTAAACCAGGAAGAAATTGAATCTCTGAATAGACCAATAACAGGCTCTGAAATTGAGGCAATAATTAATAGCTTACCAACCAAAAAAAGTCCAGGACCAGACGGATTCACAGCCAAATTCTACCAGAGGTACAAGGAGGAGCTGGTACCATTCCTTCTGAAACTATAGCAATCAATAGAAAAAGAGGGAATCCTCTCTAACTCATTTTATGAGGCCAGCATCATCCTGATACCAAAGCCTGGCAGAGACACAACCAAAAAAGAGAATTTTAGACCAATACCCCTGATGAACATCGATGCAAAAATTCTCAATAAAATACTGGCAAACCGAATCCAGCAGCACATCAAAAAGCTTATCCACCATGATCAAGTGGGCTTCGTCCCTGGGATGCAAGGCTGGTTCCACAAACGCAAATCAATAAGCATAATCCAGCATATAAACAGAACCAATGACAAAAACCACGATTATCTCAATAGATGCAGAAAAAGCCTTTGACAAAATTCAACAGCCCTTCATGCTAATAACTTTCAATAAATTAGGTACTGATGGGACGCATCTCAAAATAATAAGAGCTATTTATGACAAACCCACAGCCAATATCATACTGAATGGGCAAAAACTGGAAGCATTCCCTGTGAAAACTGGCACAAGACAGGGATGCCCTCTCTCACCACTCCTATTCAACATAGTGTTGGAAGTTCTGGCCAGGGCAATCAGGCAGGAGAAAGAAATAAAGAGTATTCAGTTAGGAAAAGAGGAAGTCAAATTGTCCTTGTTTGCAGATGACATGATTGTATATTTAGAAAACGCCATCGTCTCAGCCCAAAATCTCCTTAAGCTGATAAGCAACTTCAGCAAAGTCTCAGGATACAAAATCAATGTGCAAAAATCACGAGCATTCTTATACACCAATAACAGACAAATAGAGAGCCAAATCATGAGTGAACTCCCATTCACAATTGCTTCAAAGAGAATAAAATACCTAGGAATCCCACTTATAAGGGATGTGAAGGACCTCTTCAAGGAGAACTACAAACCACTGCTCAATGAAATAAAAGAGGATACAAATGGAAGAACATTCCATGCTCATGAGTAGGAAGAATCAATATCGTGAAAATGGCCATACTGCCCAAGTTAATTTATAGATTCAATGCCATCCCCATCAAGCTACCAATGACTTTCTCCACAGAATTGGAAAAAACTACTTTAAAGTTCATATGTAAACAAAAAAGAGCCCGCATTGCCAAGTCAATCCTAAGCCAAAAGAACAAAGCTGGAGGCATCATGCTACCTGACTTCAAACTATACTACAAGGCTACAGTAACCAAAACAGCATGGTACTGGTACCAAAACAGAGATATAGACCAATGGAACAGAACAGAGCCCTCAGAAATAATACCACACATCTACAACTATTTCATCTTTGACAAACCTGACAAAAACAAGAAATGGGGAAAGGATTCCCTACCTAATAAATGGTGCTGGGAAAACTGGCTAGCCATATGTAGAAAACTGAAATTAATTTTTGTAATTATACAAAAATTAATTCAAGATGGATTAAAGACTGAAATGTTAGACCTAAAACCATAAAAATCCTAGAAGAAAATCTAGGCAATACCATTCAGGACATAGGCATGGGCAAGGACTTCATGTCTAAAACACCAAAAGCAATGGCAACAAAAGTCAAAATTGACAAATGGGATCTAATTAAACTCAAGAGCTTCTGCACAGCAAAAGAAACTACCATCAGAGTGAACAGGCAACCTACAGAATGGGAGAAAATGTTTGCAATCTACTTATCTGTCAAAGGGCTAATATCCAGAATCTACAAAGAACTCAAACAAATTTACAAGAAAAAAACAAACAACCCCATCAACAAGTGAGCGAAGGATACGAACTGACACTTCTCAAAAGAAGACATTTATGCAGCCAACAGACAGATGAAAAAATGCTCATCATCACTGGCCATCAGAGAAATGCAAATCATAACCACAATGAGATACCATCTCACACCAGTTAGAATGGTGATCATTAAAAAGTCAGGAAACAACAGGTGCTGGAGAGGATGTGGAGAAATAGGAACACTTTTACACTGTTGGTGGGACTGTAAACTAGTTCAACCATTGTGAAGACAGTGTGGCGATTCCTCAGGGATCTAGAACTAGAAATACCATTTGACCCAGCGATCCCATTACTGGGTATATACTCAAAGGATTATAAATCATGCTGCTATAAAGACACATGCACACATATGTTTATTGCGGCATTATTCACAATAGCAAAGACTTGGAACCAACCCAAATATCCAACAATGATAGACTGGATTAAGAAAATGTGGCACATATACACCATGGAATACTATGCAGCCATAAAAAATGATCAGTTCATGTCCTTTGTAGGGACATGGATGAAGCTGGAAACCATCATTCTCAGCAAACTATCGCAAGGACCAAAAAACCAAACACCACATGTTCTCACTCATAGGTGGGAATTGAACAATGAGAACACATGGACACAGGAAGGGGAACATCACACACCAGGGCCTGTCATGGGGTGGGGGAAATGGGGAGGGATAGCATTAGGAGATATACCTAATGTTAAATGACGAGTTAATGGGTGTAGCACACCAACATGGCACATGTATACATATGTAACAAACCTGCACGTTCTGCACATGTACCCTAAAACTTAAAGTAAAATAAAAAATAAAAATAAAAAATAAAAAAATAAAAAAAAGAAATTACATTGCTAAAACAGTCAATAAATATCTTTTCTTAGGACTAGATGGAAAGTAAAAGCAGCTTGAGTATATATTCATCCCAAGTATGCCTTCATACTTGGATACGTAGACAGTGCTACGATCCTATTCTTTGCAAAAATATTCAGATTATTGATGCAAAATAACACGTTCTAAGTTAAAAATGGCAGGTTGACAATACTCATTTATTGTCTTCCTATATACTCCTCATATTCAACTGAAAGAATAGAAAATCTATGAAAACATGTCTCATTTTTTACTCCTATAAATTTCAAGTTATTCAGGATTATCTTTTGTAAATTGTTCACAGCCTTCATCCATTCTTCTATTGTTTATATTTTTCTTGTTAATTTATGATTTTATATATAAATTATATTTTACATACGAATTCTTTGCTGGTTTTAGCCATTATAAATATTTTATCCCAACCCATGGTTTTGGTATTTATTTATGATGTCTTTTGTCAAATAAAGGAATTAAACTTAGCAAAAATAAAAAAAAAGAAAATGCTGAGTTATACAAAGTTAAATACCTTTCTTCACATCATAAACTATAGATTTTAGAATAACCATACATATTCTGACTCTCCAACAAAAAGAGTACATTTCTATACACAATATTTCTGAAACATATTTGGGTATATAACAATTTTTTCATAAAGGATTTCAAAGTTCCACATTGTATAGCATGATTTGGAATTAGTCTTTAAAAACCTTACAGTGCTAAAAAGCTCACAGGGTGGAATGCAGGAAAAGAAAGCCCGGATTTTTAGCATTTGCCCATTTCCATGATGTAAATACTCACATCATGGCCAATGTCAGGGTGCTCTATGGAAGAGGAGAGATGTACACAACTGGTTCTCATAAAACAATAAAAGCCATCTGCAGCCCATCATTTAGCTAACTCCAGGACAGCATATTATTTTTAGCTAATATATTAATGCTTAAATTGTAAAGTCTAAAATAAGATGCTAATTTACCAAATAAGAAGCATCACTTCATGTTATATATTTGCCACATATTTAAAGTATATCTCAGTAACAAATTATTGTCTAACTCTCTATCTTACAAGTAAAAAAGATAAATGATAAACTCTAAGAATGCCACACTGCAAAACAGGACAAATCTAAAGGTTCCTATAAGCCATTTTATTATTTTATTTATTTAATTATTGCAAGCTAAGGACTGAGTTCAAAGCAGGATGAGGTTTGGACAACAGACCAAACTTGTATTACTTTCCTGTGGCTATGGCAATAAATTACAACAAATTCAGTGGCTTAAAATAGAAAAATCTAAAATCAGTATCACTCAGTTAAAATCAAAGTGTCAGTAGGGCCACACTACTTCCAGAAACTCTAAGAAAGAATCCATTCCTTGTCTTTTTCAGGTTCTGGATCTCGCTTAACAATATGATTGGGTAACAGTCATGTTTTATTTTATTGTTTTCTTCTTCTTTGTTTTTTTCTTTAGTCCCCAGATCTGTTCCATCCAAACACTGTTGAAGCAAGGAACAGATCCGCGGGACCACCAAATGCACCGCCAACAGTCATGTTTTAGAACGGTGGTCTCTAAACCTTTTTGATTGTACATTCCTATTGGTTAAAAAAAAAGTTTTACAACATTCCCAAATTATGGTTATCAATTAATTTGGAAATTATATGTGTAACTGTATTATAAAATGTACACAAAATTAAAAATTTAAAAGGATAAGATAAAAACATGGAATTATATCTGTTTTAAGGTTATTCTGCTACTCTTTCTTTCTCACTGTTTGTTTTCTGCACCACAGTGGCTCATTATGCGCATCACCTTGGCATACACATCTACCATTTTGGATTGTATTCTCTTAAGGGTTGAGTCTAAGGAACAAGGATTTCATAGAAAATGCACTGGGGCAAGGCATTGGAGAAGGGCTTAAATTTAGGAAGAAGTCCATTTTAAATTGGAGTATGGATTTGTTTAAAAGATTAGAATGCATTTAGAAAATTCTTATGCTTACTATATTAGTTTCCTCTGAAACTAGCAAACAAGTTATCTGCTTCCAAAATGCAATGGTGAAATAAGCATTGAATAACAGTTAAAGATATTGCCATTCCAAAAGGGAGAAAAGAGGAGGAAAAAGGTTCAACAGTCCCAAGCCATTTTGAAATCCAGAAGGGCAAATTCCATTAGGATTCAAAGCCTGGGAATAATCTTCTGTGGCTTGAGGTGAGTCCACAGCTTCAACCTCTACATTGGTGGTTCTGACCTCTGCACCTGAATCCAGCCTATGGGCCTGGCCACAGGCCTCTAGGCCTGTAGCTCCTACCATGAAGTCATTCTTCCTTTTCCTTTCTTTTTCAAGCATATGTTTGCAGCTGAGCAGTTTTATCAGCCTGATTCTGGCATGCAGAATTTTAAAAGTCTGACAGCCTTCTTTCATTTAATCCTGTCTTTCTCCTTTCAGTCCAAGCTGGCAGTGTTTCTTCTGATTTAATATTTCCAAATCCCCAGTGGGTCTCCTGTGTATGCACAGCAATCCATGTCACTAGGCAAAGAGAGTCTTCCACAGATCTTTCTTGTATAACCTCCTCTCTATCCCTGGCTTCTGCTATAACAATTGAATGGATCCAGGAGTCAAACATCCAATCCCTTCAACACTAGGAAAAGTTGACCAGTCACACCCTCACTTCTCTCCAGAGTGAATCTCAGTTTTATCAACTTTGCAATCTCAATAGGCTGAGAATTTCCCAAATGATTGAGTCCTGGTTTTGAGGGGTTTTATTTGTTTGGTTAGTAGCATTTATTCCCTCAATTTAACTCTTTCCTCTTGCACTTTATTATAAGCATCAGGAAGAAACCAGGCTGTACCTGGAACACTTTGCTTGGAAATTTCCTCAGCAAAAACATCCACATTCACTGATCACAAGTTATGCTTTCCACACAACTGTGGCAAACAATTGTGCAGCTAAGTTTCCACCACAATATAACAAGGATAACCTTTCTCCAGTTCCCAATATCATGTTCCTTATTTCCTTCGAAGTCTTCACCAGCACCTTTAACAATATTCCTACATGTACATTTTGCTTATAACAATATATGTATTATCAAAGACTATATATTTATAGGCTCTAATATGCTCCTCACTTCCTTCGGACCCCTCACCAGAAATGCCTTTAACATCCATAATTCCACTGTGCACTTCAAAATTCCTCTAGCCTCCACCAATTATCTAATCCCAGGTATCTGTTACAGCAGCACACCATATCCTGTACCAAAATCTCTATTACTTTCCTGTGGCTAGTGTAATAAATTATAACAAGCTCAGTGGTTTAAAAACAGAGAAATTTAAAATCAGTATCAGTCAAAATCAGCGTCAGTAGGAGAGAATCCATTCCTTGTCTTTTTCAGCTTCTGGTGGCTAACTTGGCTTGTGGCTATAGCATTCTAATCTCTCAGATGTGTGGTCAAATCTCCCTCTGTTTTCCTCTTATAAGGATACATGTGACTGCATTCCGTCCCACCAGAAATCCAGGAGGACCTCTTCATCTCAAGATTTTTAATTTGCAGATATGCAAAGAACATGTTCCCATATCGGTAACATTTCAGGTTCCAGAGGTTAAACACCATTAGAACTTTAGAAACCATTGTTCAGTCTTACTGCATTTATTTACTGTAAAAATATATTTATGCAGAAAAATATAGAAATATACTGACACATTAACAGAAATTGTCACTAAACAATAGATTAGAAGTTTCTTTTATGTTAACATTTCCCCAAATTTTCCACAATACGTATATTTTACTTCTTAAAACTTGGAGGTGGAGAAGGAAAAGAAGGAAAACACTCTAAAAGAGTTACTTGTGGGGACAGGGGACAACTTGACTTCGTTTTTGGCAGGACTAGATTTTTTCATTAAATGAACTGGCAGCAATAAGCAATATGAAAGGCAATTAAGAAACAATTCCACGTACTAGCATTTAAAGAATACCTAGGGGCCGGGCGTGGTGGCTCACGCTTGTAATTCCAGCACTTTGGGAGGCTAAGAGGGTGGATCGCTTGACCTCACGAGTTCAAGACCAGCCTGGGCAACCTGGTGAAACCTGGTCTCTACAAAAAACACAAAAATTAGCTGGGCACAGTGGCATATGCCTGTGGTCCCAGCTACCTGGGAGGCTGAGATGGGAGGATCACTAGAGCCTGGGAGGACGACAGGGAGATTGAAGAGAGCCAAGATCACTTCACTGCACTCTGGCCTGGGCAACAGAGCAAGACCCTGTTTCAAAAAAAAAAAAAAAAAACACCTAGGAATAAATTTAATGAAGGAAGTGGAAGACTTGCACACTAAAAACTATAAAACATTACTGAAAAAAGTTTAAGGCCAGGAGTGGTGGCTCACACCTGTAAGCCCAACACTTTCGGAGGCCAAGGCGGGTGGATTACCTGAGGTCAGGAGTTCGAGACCAGCCTGGCCAACATGGTGAAACCCCGTCTCTACTAAAAATACAGAAACTAGCTGGGCATGGTGGTGTGCACCTGTAATCCCAGCTACTCGGGAGGCTGAGGCAGGAGAATCACTTGAACCCGGAAGGCAGAGGGTGCAGTAAGCCAAGATCGCACCACTGCACTCCAACCTAGGTGACAGAGCAAGACTCTGTCTCAAACAAAAAAAAAGTTTAAAAAGACGTAATTAAATAGAAAGCTATCCCATGTTCATACATTGGAAGACTTAAAACCGGCCAGGCATGGTGGCTCATGCCCATAATCCCAACATTTTAGGAGGCCAAGGTGGGCAGATCACTTGAGGTCAGGAGTTCGAGACCAGCCTGGCCAACATGGTGAAACGCTTTCTCTACTAAAAATACAAAAATTAGACTGGCGTGGTGGCACCTGCCTGTAATCCCAGCTACTTGGGAGGCTGAGGCAGGAGAATCACTTGAACCCAGGAGGCAGAGGTTGCAGTGAGCTGAAATCACGCCACTGCACTCCAGCCTGGGGACAGAGTGACACTCTGTCTAAAAAAAGAAAAAGGAACACTTAATATTGTTATAAGACAGCAATAATTCCCAAAGCCATCTACGGGGTCAATGTTATGTCTATCAAAATTCCATCACTATTTTTGTTTTTCACTTGATTACTTTTTTTTGTTTTGCAGAAATGGAAAAAATTACCTAGGATTTTTACGGAAGCCTCAAATTCACGTGAAATTACTAGGGATCCTGAATGGCCAAAACAATCTTGGAAAAAAAAAAAAAAGAACCAAGTTAAAGGACACACACTGCCTAATTTGGGGACTTAACTAAAATGCTACAGTAATCAAAATGGTATGGCACTAGCACAATGATAAACATATAGACAATGGAATAGAACAGACAGTCTAGAAATAAACCCATACATCTATGCTCAGTTGATTTTCTAGTAGGGTACCAAGTCTATTCAGTGGGAAAAGAATTCAATAAATGGTGCTAGGACAACTATACATCCACATACAAAAGAATGAAGGTGAGCCCCTATTCATATGATATATAAAAATTAACTCAGGCCAGGCACAGTGATTCACACCTATAATCCCAGCACTTTGGGAGACTAGGCAGGAGTATCACTTGCATCCAGCAGTTTGAGACTAGCCTGGGTGACGCAGTAAGACTCCATCTCTACAAAAAATAAAAAATAAAAATTACCTGGGTGTGGCAATATATGCCTGTAGTCCCAGCTACTCAGGAGGCTGAGACGGGGGGATTGCTTGAGGCTGGGAGGTCGAGGCTGCAGTGAGCTGTGACAGCGCCACTGCACTCAGCCTGGGCGACGGAGTGAGACCTTGTCTCAAAAAAAAAAAAAAAAAAAAAGGAAAAAATTAACTCATATGGATCTGTGAGCTTCTTTTAAGTTAACTCTTAAAAGAAAACACGGGAAAATCTTCATGACCTTAGATTTGTCAATGGATTCTTCTTGACATCAAAAATTGACATCAAAAGCATAAGAAACAAGAAAATAGAGTGATGTTAGCAAGGTGGCCAACTACAAGTTCCTAGCACTGCCCCCCACACCAAAACAAACAAACAAAACAATAAATAACAACTACATCTTGATGAAAATAACTAAAGGAAAGTACCAGAATGCAGCAAAGGAGTAGAAGCAACTCTATATATAGAGCACAAAAACAGAGTATGGCCATGTAGAGAAGGGAAGAAAAGACCTTGTCTCCACCACTACTTCCCCTGACAGGGTCAGCTTGAAACCAGGAGGGACTTCTCTCTTCCAAGAAAAGGTAAACAAAAGAACCCCAACAACCCTCACCACCACCGTGAACACCCACAGTCTTCACCACTGTGGACTTCTGCAGACCTCATAGGTACTGAGCCCAGCTGAGGGAATTGTTCAGAGTCCATACGGCTGTGTTCACCCCAAGGAAGAATCCTACACCTCCCTCATCTTCTGTAGCCCAACCTGCTACTGTGCTACACCATCTTGAAAGCAGAGCCTCTCTGGGAGTGCATCCTGCTCTGTAGGCAAATAGCTACTGTACCCTTCCATCCCTGAGGTTTTGTTATCACTGCACCATGCCTGTCTGGTGACCTGCCATCCTCAAGCCTACCTGCTACAATGCCCTACCCTTGGGGTCAAGCTGCTATGGAGCCACTCCATCCCCTGCATCCCAGTTGTTTCTGTGTCCTACTCCTCAGGGTCTAAGCTAATGCAGCACTTCACCTTCTGAGAAATAAGGACTTTGGCCAAGCAGAGCAGTCACACCTCTGACACCTGAGCCAAAGCAGCACCGGAGCTGACGTGGCACTCCAATTCCCAGGGAACCTGTGCACTGGTCTAGCCAAGCAGTTGATCCCCCTTGGCACCTGAAACATGCAGGGTCCCGCATCCCAGGGAAATAGAGCATTGGTTGAGCTGAACCACCCTGTCTTCCAGGTGGAACGGATGCAACACCCTACTTCCACAGAACTGGACTAGTCCCCAGCGTCTACGCTGCTGAGGCATCCCACTTCCTCAGAGAGTAGAGTCGTCATTGTGCTACTGCTTGCCCTCCAGGGCCCAAGACACAGCTGTGCTCCACCATTACTGGGTAACTGTTGTTGCTGCACATGGCCTGACAAAACTTGGGCCTCTGCCATATACTACCAGCCCAGGGTCCAGAGTCCCCACTGCATAGTGCCTCATGCCCCAGGGCTGAGTTTCTGGTGTGTACTCTTGACTCTGGGACTCTTACTCCCTGCGACTCAGGCCTCTGGAGCACCCCTTCTTCTCCAGAGCTATGCCAGTTCTGTGCCCTGCCCCCAGGATTAGAGTCACAGCTACATCCCTGCCCCATGGGAACAAACTGCTGTGGTGAACCTCAGCATCACAGACCCTAACTTTGTGGCCGATCTGCATCTACTCTGACCTCATAGAGTAAATGTGTAGCCCAAGGTGCTACAGAAGTTTCAAGCTCAGCACATTGGCCCCACGGCCAATCCAAGCACGCACCCTGCAGCCCAGCACTGCTGTGACTGCCTGTGGGCCATGTCAGATCAGACACCAAGAAGGATCCCCTCAGCTAGGATCCATCCCGTTGCTGGGAAAACAAGAACTAGAGGACCCCAAAAGTCCTTGCAACTGAGGATCCTAACAACTCATGCTGCCAGTACTGCTGCCACAAGCTCTTAAAAGCTTAAGCCACTTAGGCACCCAAGGTCATCAATGACATTGATTATAGTTAAAGAAGCTGCACAGAAACTACACCAGTGTGCCCACTCAGAACAAGAGTCACCATAACCTGCCCAACTGGTACACACAGGTGAAAGCCTTTCCCTATGAAAACCACTATGTAAAGTTTGGAAGAGGTGATTGTTCCATGAGATGTACAGATATAAATGCTGGACAGGACACACAAAATAGGAAAAAGCAAGGAAATGTGACACCACAAAAGAAACACAGTAATTCTCCAGTAACTGACCCCAAAGAAATGAAAAGTTATAAACTGCCTAAAAAGGAATTCAAATAATGATCTTAAGGAAACTCAGTGAGACACAAGAGAATACAGATAGATAATTCAACAAAACCAGGAAAACGATTAGTTATCTGAATGAGAAGCTCAACAGAGACAGAAATCATTTAAAAAGAACCAATCAAAAATCTTGGAGCTGAAGAATCCAATGAATGAATTTAAAAAAAAAATAGAGCTGCAATAGCAGATTAGAAAAGTAGAAAAAAGAATTGTGACTTAAAAACAAGTGTTTGAAATTAACCAGTCAGGAGGAAAAAGGAAAAAGAATGAAAAAGAGTAAAGAAAGCCTATGGGACTTATAGGACACTATCTGGCAAACAAATTTTCACATTATGAAAGCTACAGAAGGAGAAGGGACAGTAAAAGGGACAGAAAGCTTATTTAATAAAATAATCCACATGTAATCCCAGCACTCTGGAAAGCCAAAATGAGAGGGCTGCTTGAGGCCAGGAGTTCAGGACAAGCCTGGGCAACATAGTGAGATCCTATCTCTACCAAAAAAAAAAAAAACAAAAAAAATGTGTTTTAGTTAGTCAGGCATGGTGCAGCAATCTCTAAATACCAGCTATTTTTGAGAGGCTGAGGAGGGGAAGATCACTTGACCCCAAGAGTTCGAGATTACAGTGAGCTATGTCCATGCCACTGCACTCCAGCTTGGGCAACAGAGCAAGACACTGTCTCTAAAAAAATTTTTTTTAATAAATGAAAATTGCTGAAAATTTCCCAAGTCTTGGTTGAGATACTGATATCCACATCCAGGAAGCTCAAAACTCCCCAAACAGGTTCAACCCAAAGACATCTTTACCAAGATGCATAATCACCAAACTGTCAAAAGTAAAAGGCAAGGAGAGAATTCTAAAAACATCCAGAGAAAACTGACATGTCACATACAAGGGAATCTCCATTATATCATTAGTTGACTTCTCAACAGAAATCTTACAGGCCAAGAGAAAATGGGATGATACATTTAGACAGCTGAAAGAAAACAACTGCAGCCAAAAATACTATACCCAGCAAAGCTATTCTTCAGAAATTAAGGTTACATAAAGACCTTCCCAGATAAGCAAAAGCTGAGGGAATTCATCACCACTAGACCAGTCTTACAAGAAATGCTTAAGAGTGCCACAACTGAAAGCAAAGGGACAATAATTACTATCATGAAAGTATGTGAAAGTATATAATTCACCACTAGAAGTAACTTCAAAATCAAACTCAAAATACCCCAGTGCTGTAATGGTGCTATATAAATCTTTCAATCTTCTAGTATAAACATAAAAAGCCAAAATGGTCAAAAACAACATCTATAATTCAAAGTTAAGGAACACACAAAAGGTAAAAAAGTAAATTAAGGCAACAAAAATATAAATTAAGGATAGGGAAAATGTCTAGAGTACTTTTATGTGAGTAAAGTTAAGTTGTTATCAGCTTGAAATAGTCTAATAGTCTGTTTTAACTGAAAGATTCTTAATGTTAGCCCAATGGTAACCACACAAAAAATACAGTAAATATGCAAATTAGAGAGAAAAATGAAATAAAGCTAGGTAAACAACAAGAGGAAGAAAGGAACAAAGGATCTACAAAATAAACAGAAAACAATTAACAAAATGGCAGGAGAAAATCCCTTTTCTAGGATGAATGTAAATGGATTAAATGCCCTAAAAAAGATATATAATGGTTGAACTGACAAAAAAAAAAAAAAAGATCCAACTACATGCTGCCTACAAGGAACTCACTTTAGCTTTAAGGATGCACACAGGCTGAAAGTAAATGAATGAAAAACATATTCCATGCAAATGGTAACCAAAAAAGAGCAGAGGTGGGTATACGTATATCAGATAAAACAGATGTCAAGTCAAAAACTTTCAGAAAAGACAAAGGTCAGTATTTAATGATAAAAAAGTCAATTCATCAAGAAGACATAATAATTATAAATATATATGTTCCCAACATTGGAGCAACTAAATATATAAAACAAATATTAATAGACAGGAAGGGATGAAACAGCAATACAATAATAGTAGGGTACGTCAATACCTCACTTTCAACACATATCAACCAGAGAAAGCATTAATAAAGAAATACTGAATGTGAACTATACTTTAGACCAAATGGACTTAATAAACATCTACAGAATATTCCATCCAACAACAGCAAAATACACATTCTTCTCTAGTGCACATAAAACATTCTCCAGGATGGACCACATGTTAGGCTGCAAAACAAGTCCTAACAAATTTAATAATATTAAAGTCACATCAAGTGTCATTTTGACCACAATAGTATAAAACTAGAAATCAACAACAGGAGGAATTTTGGAAAATTCAAAAATATGTGAAAATTAAACAGGATGCTCCTGGGCAACCAACGGGTCAAAGAAGAAATCAAAAAGGAAATTTAAAAATATTCTGAAACAAATGACAATGGAAATAAGATATACCAATACTTACATGATGCAGCAAAAGTGGGTCTAAGAGGGAAGTTTATAGCAATAAATAACTACATTAAAAAAAGAAATATTTCAAATAAATAACTAACATTATGCATCAAGGAAATAAAAAAAGAACAAAGTAAACCCAAAATTAGCACAAAGAAGGAAAGAATACAGAAATAAATCAAATAGAAAAAACATAGGGGAAAAAAATCAATCAAACTGAGTTGGTTTTTTGAAAATCTAAACGAAATTGACAAATGCTTAGCTACGCTCAGCAAAAAAGATAGAAGACTTAAATAAAATCAGAAACAAAAGTAGAGACATTACAACAGACACCACAGAAATAAAAAGAATAATAAGCAACTACTATGAACAATTATATGCCAACAAACTGGATAACCTAGAGTAAGTGAATAAATTCCTTAAAAAAATAACCAACCAAGATTAAATCAGGAAGAAGTACAAAGCCTGCACAGGTCAATAACAAACAAAGAGACTGGAATATAAACTTAAAGTCTCCCAAGGGAATAAAAAGCCCAGAACTAGATGGCTTCACAGCTGAATTCTACCAACTTTCAAAACAGAATTAATACCAATATTTCTTAAACTCTTCCAAGGAAACACAGCTAGAGGGAATATGCCTAACACACTTTCAGAGGCCATCATCAGCTCATGCCTAATACAGACAAAGACACCGCAAAAAAAAAAAAAAAGAAAAAAGAAAACTGCAAGCCAATATCTCTCATGAAAATTGATGTAAAAAACCTCAATACCATATCAGTAAACCAAATTCAAATAGCCAAGATGGAGAACCACCTAGGTGTCCATCAAGAGATGGCTGTTTGTGTTGCTATAAAGAAATACATGAGGCCCAGAGCTGAGCAGACCTAATAGATAGCTACAGAACTCTCCACCCCAAATCAACAGAATATACATTCTTCTCAGCACCACATCGCACTTATTCTAAAATTGACCACATAACTGGAAGCAAAACACTTCTCAGCAAATACAAAAGGACAGAAATCACAACAAACTGTCTCTCAGACCACAGTACAATCAAATTGGAACTCAGGATTAAGAAACTCACTCAAAACCGCACAACTACATGGAAACTGAACAATCTGCTCCTGAATGACTACTGGGTAAATAACGAAATGAAGGCAGAAATGAAGATGTTCTTTGAACATTCCATGCTCATGGACAGGAAGAATCAATATTGTGAAAATGGCCATACTGTCCAAGGTAATTTATAGATTCAGTGTCATCCCCATCAACCTACCAATGACTTTCTCCACAGAATTCAAAAAAACTGTTTTAAAGTTCATACAAAACCAAAAAAGAGCCCACGCTGCCAAGACAATCCTAAGCAAAAAGAACAAAGCTGGAGGCATCACGCTACCTGACTTCAAACTATACTACAAGGCTACAGTAACCAAAATAGCATGGTACTGGTACCAAAACAGAGATACAGACCAATGGAACAGAACAGAGGCCTCAGAAATAACACCACACATATAAAACCATCTGATCTTTGACAAATCTGAGAAAAACAAGAAATGGGGAAAGGATTCCCTATTTAATAAATGGTGCTGGGAAAACTGGCTAGCCACATGTAGAAAACAGAAACTGCATCCCTTCCTTACACCTTATACAAAAATTAATTCAAGATGGATTAAAGACTGAAATGTTAGACCTAAAACCATAAAATCCCTGGAAGAAAACCTAGGCAATACCATTCAGGACAAAGGCATGGGCAAAGACTTCATGACTAAAACACCAAAAGCAATGGCAACAAAAGCCAAAATTGACAAATGGGATCTAATTAAACTCAAGAGCTTCTGCACAGCAAAAGAAACTACCATCAGAGTGAACAGGCAACCTACAGAATGGGAGAAAATTTTTGCAATCTACCCATCTGACAAAGTGCTAATATCCAGAATCTACAAAGAACTTAAACAAATTTACAAGAAAAAAATCAAACAACCCCATCGAAAAGTGGGTGAAGGATATGAACAGACACTTCTCAAAAGAAGACTTTTTTGCAGCCAACAGACATATGAAAAAATGCTCATCACTACTGGTCATGAGAGAAATGCAAATCAAAAACACAATGAGATACCATCTCATGCCAGTTAGAATGGTGATCATTAAAAAGTCAGGAAACAACAGGTGCTGGAGAGGATGTGGAGAAATAGGAACACTTTTACACTGTTGGTGGGACTGTAAACTAGTTCAACCATTGTGGAAGACAGTGTGGCGATTCCTCAGGGATCTAGAACTAGAAATACCATTTAACCCAGCGATCCCATTACTGGGTATATACCTAAAGGATTATAAATCATGCTGCTATAAAGACACATACACACGTATGTTTATTGCTGCACTAATCACAATAGCAAAGACTTGGAACCAACCCAAATATCCAACAATGATAGACTGGATTAAGAAAATGTGGCACATATACACCATGGAATACTATGCAGCCATAAAAAAGGATGAGTTCATGTCCTTTGTAGGGCCATGGATGAAGCTAGAAACCATCATCCTGAGCAAACTATCACAAGGACAGAAAACCAAACACTACATGTTCTCACTCATAAGTGGAAGTTGAACAATGAGAACACTTGGACACAGGGTGGGGAACCTCACAGACCAGGGCCTGTCGTGGGGTGAGAGGGAGGGGGAAGGGATAGCATTAAGAGAAATACCTAATATAAATGACGAGTTAATGGGTGCAGCACACCAACATGACACATGTATACATATGTAACAAACCTGCACTTTGTGCGCATGTACCCTAGAACTTAAAGTATAATAATAATAATAATAATAATAATAAAGATGTTCTTTGAAACCAATGAGAACAAAGCTACAACGTACCAGAATCTCTGGGGCACATTTAAAGTGGTGTGTAGAGGGAAATTTATAGCACTAAATGCCCACAAGAGAAAGCAGGAAAGACCTAAAATCAACACCCTAAGATCACAATTAAAAGAATTAGAGAAGCAAGAGCAAACACATTCAAAAGCTAGCAGAAGGCAAGAAATAACTAAGATCAATGCAGAACTGAAGGAGATAGAGACACAAAAAACCCTTCAAAAAATCAATGAATCCAGGAGCTGGTTTTTTGAAAAGATAACAAAATAGATAGATGGCTAGCAAGACTAATAAAGAAGAAAAGAGAGAAGAATCAAATAGACGCAATAAAAAATGATAAAGGGGATACCAACACCGATCCCACAGAAATACAAATTACCATCAGAGAATACTATAAACACCTCTACTCAAATAAACTAGAAAATCTAGCAGAAATGGATAAATTCCTGGACACATACACCCTCCCAAGACTAAACCAGGAAGAAGTTGAATCTCTGAATAGACCAATAACAGGCTCTGAAATTGAGGCAATAATTAATAGCTTACCAACCAAAAAAAGTCCAGGACCAGATGGATTCACAGCCAAATTCTACAGGAGGTATAAAGAGGAGCTAGTACCATTCCTTCTGAAACTATTCTAATCAACAGAAAAAGAGGGAATCCTCCCTAACTCATTTTATGAGGCCAGCATCATCCTGATACCAAAGCCTGGCAACAACGAATAAAGAGAATTTTAGGCCAATATCCCTGATGAACATGGATGGAAAAATCCTCAATAAAATACTGGCAAACCAAATCCAGCAGCACATCAAAAAGTTTATCCACCACGATCAAGTTGGCTTCATCCTTGGGATGCAAGGCTGGTTCAACATACGCAAATCAATAAACGTAATCCAAACAGGACCAACGAAAAAACCACATGATTATCTCAATAGATGCAGAAAAGGCCTTCAAAAAAATTCAACAGCCTTTCATGCTAAAAACTCTCAATAAACTAGGTATTGCTGAAACGTATCTCAAAATAATAAGAGCTATTTATGACAAACCCACAGCCAGTATCATACTGAATGGGCAAAAACTGGACGCATTCCCTTTGAAAACCGGCACAAGACAAGGATGCCCTCTCTCACCACTCCTATTCAACATAGTATTGGAAGGTCTGGCCAGGGCAAAAAGGAAAGAGAAAGAAATAAAGCGTATTCAAATAGGAAGAGAGGAATTCAAATTGTCTCTGTTTTCAGATGACATGATTGTATATTTAGAAAACCCCATCGTCTCAGCCTAAAATCTCCTTAAACTGATAAGCAACTTCAGCAAATTTTCAGGATACAAAATCAATGTGCAAAAATCACAAGCATTCCTGTACACCAAGAACAGACCGAGAGCCAAATCATGAGTGAACTCCCATTCACAATTACTACAAAGAGAATAAAATACCTAGGAATCCAACTTACAAGGGATGTGAAGGACCTCTTCAAGGAGAACTACAAACCACTGCTCAACAAAATAAAAGAGGACACAAACAAATGAAAGAACATTCCTTGCTCATGGGTAGGAAGAATCAATATTGTGAAAATGGCCATACTGCCCAAGGTAATTTATAGAGTCAATGACATCCCCATCAAGCTACCAATGACTTTCTTCACAGAATTGGAAAAAACTACTTTAAAGTTTATATGGAAACAAAAAAGAGCCTGCAGAGCCAAGAAAACCCTAAGCAAAAAGAACAAAGCTGGAGGCATCACGCTACCTGACTTCAAACTATACTACAAGGCTACAGTAACCAAAATAGCATGGTACTGGTACCAAAACAGAGATGTAGACCAATGGAACAGAACAGAGACCTTAGAGATAACACTACACAGCTACAACCATCTGATCTTTGACAAACCTGAGAAAAACAAGCAATGGAGAAAGGATTCCCTATTTAATAAATGGTGCTGGGAAAACTGACTAGCCATATGTAGAAAGCTGAAACCGGATCCCTTCCTTACACCTTATACAAAAATTAATTCAAGATGGATTAAAGACTGAAATGTTAGACCTAAAACCATAAAATCCCTGGAAGAAAACCTAGGCAATGCCATTCAGGACATAGGCATGGGCAAAGACTTCATGACTAAAACACCAAAAGCAATGGCAACAAAAGCCAAAATTGACAAATGGGATCTAATTAAACTAAAGAGCTTCTGCACAGCAAAAGCAACTACCATCAGAGTGAACAGGCAACCTACAGAACGGGAGAAAATTTTTGCAATCTACTCATCTGACAAAGTGCTAATATCCAGAATCTACAAAGAACTTAAACAAATTTACAAGAAAAAAATCAAACAACTCCATCAAAAAGTGGGCAAAGGATATGAACAGACCCTTCTCAAAAGAAGACATTAATGCAGCCAACAGACATATGAAAAAATGTTCATTATCACTGGTCATGAGAGAAATGCAAATCAAAACCACAATGAGATACCATCTCACGCCAGTCAGAAGGGCGATCATTAAAAAGTCAAGAAACAACAGATGCTGGAGAGGATGTGGAGAAATAGGAACACTGTTGGTGGGAGTGTAAATTAGTTCAACCATTGTGGAAGACAGTGGTGATTCCTCAAGGATCTAGAACTAGAAATACCATTTGACCCAGTCATCCCATTACTGGGTATATACCCAAAGGATTATAAATCATGCTGCTGTAAAGACACATGCACACGTATGTTTACTGCGGCACTATTCATAATAGCAAAGACTTGGAACCAACCAAAATGTCCATCAATAATAACCTGGATAAAATGTGGCACATATACACCATGGAATATTATGCAGCCATAAAAAAGGATGAGTTCATGTCCTTTACAGGGACACGGATGAAGCTGTAAATCATCATTCTCAGCAAACCATCACAACAACAGAAAACCAAACACCGCATGTTCTCACTCATAAGTGGAAGTTGAATAATGAGAACACATGGACACAGAGAGGGGAACATCAAACACGGGGGCTTGTTGGGGGCTGGGGGGCTGGGAGAGAGATAGTGTTAGGAGAAATACCTAATGTAAATGACGAGTTGATAGGTACAGCAAACCAACACGGCACATGTATACCTATGTAACAAACCTGCACGTTGTACACATGTACCCTAGAACTTAAAGTATAATAATAATGATTTTTAAAAAAGAAATACATGAGGCTTGGTAATTTATAAAGAAAAGTGGCTTAATTGGCTCACAGTTCTGCAGGAGGTACAAGAGTGGCACCAAAATCTGCCCAGCTTCTAGTGAGAGCCTCAGGAAACTTACAATCATGGCAGAAGGCAAAAAGGGAGGACATCACATGGTGAGACTGGGAACAAGAGAACGAGGAGGGAAAGGAACCAGACTTTCAAACAACCAGATCTTGTGTGAACTCAGTGAACAAGAACTCACTTATCACAAGAGGATGGTAATAAATAATTCATGAGGGATCCACCCCCATGATCCAATCACCTCCCACCAGTCCCCACCTCCAACATTGGGAATCACATTTCAACATGAACTGGAGGGGACAAACACCCAAACCATATCAACAGATGAATGGATAAAGAAACTGTGATATATACAGGTTGAGCATCCCTAATCCAAAAATCTGAAATTCTAAATCTTCTAAAATACTAAACTTTTGGAGTACCAACATGATCAAAAGAAAGGCTCATTGGAACATTTTGGTCTTCAGGTTTTTGAATTTGGGATGCTCAACCAAGTAAGTATATAATACAAATATTCCAAAATCCAAAAATATCTGAAATCCACAACACTTCTGGTCCCAACCACTTCAAATAAGAGATAGTCACCTTGTATATGCAATGGAATACTATTTAGCCTTATAAAGGGAGATCTTGCCATTTGCTACAACATGGATGAATCTAGAGGACATTATGCTGAATGAAATAAATCAGACACAGAAAGAAAATTACTGCATGATCTCACATGGGATCTCGGGGAAAAAAAGTCAAATATACAAGGACAGAGAATACAACAGCAATTACCAGTGGGCAGGGTCGGGGGAGGAAATGTGAAATATAGGTCAGTGGATACAAAGAAGCACACATGTAGGATGAACAAGTCTAAAGATCTAATGTATAACACAAGGACGATAGCTAATTATAGTGTAATGTATTCAGGATTTTTGTTAAATGGGTAGACTGTGGCTGCTCCTGCTGCACACACACAAAATAAGAAACTATGTGAGATGATGAATATGAAGCAGTATAATGTTCTCAGTAGTCTATGAAAAATTGAAGATATAATTGCTAGTACAACCAGTAAAAATAATAATTCAAGGAGGTATAGCTAATAAGCCAACAAGTAAATTAAAATGGAATTCCTACAAATACTCTCTTGGATTCAACAGAAGGCAAAAAAAAGGACTAGAGGAAACAATAAATAATAAAATCATAGACCTAAATGCAACCATATCAATAATTATGTTATTTTAATACAATTTATATATACTCATATATTTTATCACCCCAAGTTACAAATTAATTGGACCAAGCCCTCCAATTAAAAGATAGAGATTGCAACAGCCTCCCATAGTACTAGGATTACAGACATGAGCCACTGCAGCTGGCCTCTTTCTATTATTTATTTATTTATTTTTTAAGTGAACTGTAAAACAGCCTCAGTCAGATCCTTCAGGAAATATTCCAGAAGAAGGCACTGTTATTATAGGAGATGAAAGCTCCATGTGCATTATTGCCCCTAAGACCTTCAAGTGGGACAAGATGTGGAGGTGGAAGATGATGATATTGATGATCCTGACCCTGGGTAGGCCGAGGCTAATGTGTGTGTTTATGTCTTCATTTTTAACAAAAAAAGTTTAAAAAGTAAAAAACAAATCTTAAAAACAGAAAAACACTTATAGAATAAGAATACAAAGAAAATATTTTTATACAACTGTATAATGTTTGTGTTTAAGCTAAGTGTTACTACGAAAGCTTCAAAAAGTTTTTAAAAATTTAAAGTTTATCAAGTAAAAATATTACAGTTAGAAGGAATAAGATCTAGTATTTGGTAGCATAGTAGTACAATATAGTTAACAATAATTTATTGTACATTTCAAAATAACTAAAAGAGTAGAATTAGAATGTTCCTAATACAAAGAAATGATAAATGCTTGAAGTGATGGATATCCCAATTACCTTGATGTCGCTACACACTGCATGCCTGGTTCAAAATATCACATGTACCCCATAAATATGTACTATTATGTACCCATAATACTTAAAAATTTTTAAAAATAAGTAAAGGGAAATTTTTTAAAAAAGAAAAAAGTTACAGTAAGCTAAGGTTAATTTATTATTAAAGAACAATTTTTTCTATACATTTAGTGTTGCCTCAGTGTACAGTGTTTATAAAGTCTACAGTAGTGCACACTAATGTCCTAGGTCTTCACTTACCATTTGCTCAGTGGCTCACAGAGAGCAACTTCCAGTCCTGCCACCTTCATTCTTGCTAAGTACCCTATACAAGTGTATCATTTTTTATCTTTCAGACCATATTTTTACCACATCTTTTCTCTTTAGGTATGTTTAGATACACAAATACCTACTACTACGTTAAAATTGCCTATAGTAGTCACTACAGTAACATGCTGTAAAGGTTTGTAGCCTAACAGAAATGGGCTATACCATATAGCCTAGGTGTGTAGTAGACTATACCATCTAGGTTTGTGTAAGTATACTTGATAACATTCACATAATGATGAAATGACACATTTCTGAGAACATATCCCCATCGTTAAGCAACACATGACTATATACATAAACACAAACCATCATAATGAACCAGTGATCTATCTCACTTGACCCAGTTGTTGATAATTCATACAGTCATCTAGTATGTATTATCTACTATGTGCTAGGTGCTTGGGACACAAGAGCATTCAAAAGAGACAAAAATATCTGTCCCTAGCATTTTATATTCGTTGAAGGGTGGGAGGAGGAGCCAAGGGGAGGGGAGAATAAACATAATGATTAAGTAAATTACATAACATGTTAGAAGGTGATAAATGTTGTAAAAAAAGTAAAATAGAACGAGGTGTTGCAATTTTAAGCAGGTTAGTCCTCACTGAGAAGGAAGCATTGAGAAAATACTTTGAGCAAAGTAAATAAGGGAGTTAGCCATCTAAGAAAAATCGTTCTAGGTAGTGACAAAAGCTAGTGCTAAACTAGACCATACTTGACTTGCTCAAGCATGGAGTAGAGTGAGCAAGGGAAATAATAACAAGAGATGAAATCAAAGCAAACTGGAAAGGAGGAAAGGCACATTTGGAGGGACTTATAGGCCGTTTGGAGGAATCAATGCAAGGTTTCTGAACAAAGTAGAAACATAATTTGATTTTGGTTATAAAAGCCCAAAAAAATGTTTTATGGAAGGTGTTTCAAGGCATATACTCAAAATGAGAAAAATCTCCCCTGAATATCAAGAGTATCTTATTTATAACTTATCGTTAATCAAAGCTTCCTTTGTTCTATTTCTAAACTACTTCATTCAAACTTAAAGGGGTATTTTTCAAGTTAAATATCCCGAAATTTGTTAGTTCACACAAATGTACTTCATCACTTGTACTGCCTTTCCACCTTCTTCTTTTTTTTTTTTTTGAGACAGAGTCTCACCTCTGTCACCCAGGCTGGAGTGCAGTGGTGCGATCTCAGCTCATTGCAACTTCTGCCTCCCAGGTTCAAGTGATTCTCCTGCCTCAGCCTCCTGAGTAGCTGGGATTATAGGTATATGCCATCACGCCCAGTTAGTTTTTGTATTTTTAGTAGAGACGGGGTTTCACCATGTTGCCCAGGCTCGTGTCGAACTCCTGACGCCTGCCTCGGCCTCCCAAAGTGCTAGGATTACAGGCATACGCCACCGTGCCCAGCCTCAACCTTCATTTTCAATCCATTATAATCTATTTTTAATCCAATTTAAATTAGAAAATGAGCTTATTTTTACATGAAGTCTTTCCTCACCTTGCTTATTACAGCCACCATTCTCTAAGTCTTTTCCTTCTTGAATTATGGGAACAGTAACTATACTTCTCTACCTCATTTTTAGGTACATGAGAAACGTATCTGTGACTTATTTAAGACTGAGTCTGGGCCAGGCACAGTGGCTCAAGCCTGTAATCCCAGCACTTTGGGAGGCCAAGGTGGGTGGATCACCTGAGGTCAGGAGTTTGAGGCCAGCCTGGCCAACATGGTGAAACCACATCTCAACTAAAAATACAAAAATTAGCTGGGCATGGTGGCACACGCCCAAAATCCCAGGTACTTAGGAGGCTGAGGCAGGAGAACTGCTTGAACCTGGGAGGCGGAGGTTGCAGTGAGCCCGAGACCACACCATTGCACTCTGGTCTGGGTGACAACAGCGAAACTCTGACTCAAAACAAAATAAAGACTGAGTTCGGCCAGGCACAGTGGCTCATGCCTGTAATCCCTGCCCCTTGGGAGGCTAAGGAAGGAAGATCACTTGAGGCAAAAGTTAAGACCAGCCTGGGCAACACAGCAAGACCCCATCTCTACAAAAATAAAAATACTGGCTGGGTGTGGTGCTTCACATCTGTAATCCCAGCACTTTTGGAGGCCAAAGTACAAGGATCGCTTGAGCCCAGGAATTCAAGACCAGCCAAGGCAACATACTGAGATGAGACCCTGTCTCTACAAAAATTTTTAAAAGTAGCAGGGCATGATGGCAGATGCCTGTAGTCACAACTACTCAGGAGGCTGAGGTGGAAGGATCACTTGAGCCCAAGAGATCAAGACTGCAGTGACTGCACTCTAGCCTGGGTGACAGAATAAAACCCTGTCTCAAAAAAAAAAAAAAAATACAATTACAAAAATTAGCCAGGCATGATAGCACACACCTGTAGTCCCAACTATTAATACTTGGGAGGCTGAAGTGGGAGGATTACTTGAGCCTAAGAGGTCTAGGCTGCAGTGAGCTATGACTACACCATCGCACTAAAGCCTGAACAACAGAATCTGTCTCTTTAAAAAAGTAATAAATAAGACTAAGTCAGTGTCTTCAGAGAACAGATTATCTTAAATAGATGCAAAAGGCAGTTTGTATCACACAATGGGTTATTTCTCTAATCTTTCTCTTATTTTAATCTGTAATTAAGCTCAACTGACATTTTTTAAAGCAACTCAAAGCACTTTATGATAATGTATTGATTTGATCCCATAAACTTAACATTTTACTATCAGAACTACATATATAGCCTGAAATCTGGATGATGTCATAGTCATTAATGAAAATGCCAAGAGCCTATCACCGATTCATTTTCATCCAGAGAAGTCTATTCCTACGTAGCTTTCACTTTATAAATATATACTTTTCCCACAATTCTACTATAATCTAGAGGTTTTTGTTTGATTTTGTTTTCTAAGGAGAGAAACCCACAGAGAAGGAAAATATATATTTTAAACTACATTTGAGAAAGCAGACTTTTTAAAAGAACAAAATTTGCTAGTTCTCTTCCCATTATCATTACTATTTATATTTTCAGCTATATTCCACCCACATTTAAAGTCCCTAAAATGTTCTTAAAAAGGAATTTGGTAAGATCTAAGGATAAACATCTAGGTCTCAGTATAATTTATACCAACTTACTATGACATCTTCAGCCATTCATCACCTTCTGGTTTCCAATCTCCTTTTACCAACCTCTCAAAATTCGTTATAATGGTACCACCTGCACCTAAAAATATGAAAATAAAACAAGAATATTTGGCCAAATTTTCCTGTAAAACATATTTAAAGGGAGCCATAATTCTATCACCTGATAATACATTCCAAGAGGATTCCCAAAATATAATTCTTGGAAAGAAGAAAAAAGTTGCCTTGTACATTTAGGGTACTAAAACAACTGCAATTCTTCCCTTTCACCAGCATGTCAACTGTTAAAACTGGGGCCTCGGGCACAAAGATATGGTTAGAAGTTTGTTTCAGAACTGAAAAATAAAATCCTCTGCTTTATCATTTCCTTTCCTGATACGACCGGTTTCAGGTGCAGTATACTGTAAAAAGAGGTTACAGAGATTTGTTCAATTCCTACATGCAAAACAAAAAGGCAAGTGATGTAAAGTTCAATGATCATGAACCCATAGTCAATCATATTTATTATTTCTAGTAATTCTGAATGAAAAAAACACAGAAAAGACAGAGCAATATTTTTTATTCATATGTACCACATAATTTCTTATGTAAACTTATTTTATTTACAGAGGCACTATACCTTAATTAACTATAAATCTTTCTGGTTCTGGGGATCTTAATCAAACCAATCATAAAAATTTTCTATCATAAGACACTCAGGCTCAAAATAATGGCTTAGGACTAGTACTAGTTTTGAATTAACTTTACCAGCCAACAGAAACAAGGTTTTTACCTTCCAAAAAGTCTCTGTTATTAAAGTATGTGATCCATTAATGTAACTAGAGAATTGTTCAGTAATGGTATTAATAATACACCAACAACAGAATATTTATGAACACATATTGTCAATATTACCTCGGGCCCATCCAATAGCTATCATGACTATCCAGCCATTTTTGTAATAGCTATTAGCATGTGTGACTCCACCTACTATTTTCCAAGTTCTGGTCACTTCCTTCATTCCCGAAGCCAGTAGTTGAACAGGTAGATATGAATAGCCCTGGGAAACTAGGTCATGCGGGCAAAAAAATGTAATATACCTGAAAATGAAATGTAAACATTTTAATATATTAATGGAATCAGAAGAACAGAAATTAAAATCTAACCTAACAGCAACAACAATTTGGCAAAACACAACAAATGGAATTTTCCATATAAACATTTAACTTGATTTCAATAAAAGCACAACTTGGGTAGGGAGGCAATTTTTTAAATCACATGAAACATATGTCATCTGCCAAAAAGTCATGATCAGAGAAGAATGTAAACTGTGGACTTCTGAATACTTTATAGATATATGAAATATTTAGTGAGCTCTTAATTTGTGCCTATATTGTTCTAGAAGCTAAGTGCTGAATCCAGTAACAAAACAAATGTATAATCATTTCCAGGGGTAGGAACTCCTACACAGTGTCTTTGTCCTCTGGGAAAATGAATTAGAGAAAGGGTCCTTTGGTAAAAGCAAGGGCTACATTTCAATCTCAAATAACATATTCACCTGTGCCCCACTGTGCAGGACATAAACTACAATCTATACAAAGGTACATGACGGCTCACAAGGAGGCAGATTTGTATTAAGGAAAAACACATTTCTATACAGCTGAAAGAATATGAAGCTGTTCTTTAATTTAGTTCACTAAGCTTAAGTTTTAACCAAATTAAACTGTGATTAAAAATAATTCATCCCATCTATGGTAAATTATTTTTTTAAACTTCATTTGTTCTAAGCATCTATTCGAATACTAGCAGTAAGATCTATTGGAAAACATACTGCTTTTTTCTCTCCATTCTCCAAATACTCTGGCTGACAATTTTGTGCTTAAAGTAGAACATATCTTCTTTCTAACGGGGTAAATAAAAGACATGGCATGAAAGAATATCATATCTCTTTTAAAAGAAGCTATTAATCTTATTGCAATTCACGATTTATAAAGTCAGAATTCTTCAATGTTCATGAAATATGAAATGTTTGCCAAAATACTGCTTCAGCGACTAAATAAAAAGATACAATAGTCTGTTTAGCCTAAAGCACCCTTTCTTCTTCATCTCCACTTACCAATTCCTTCCTACTCTTCAAGGTGCCACTCAAATATTACCATAGTCATTGACTTTGGGATTCTTATTTTATTTTAACATCTCAGCTCAGACTACATTCTGATGGCTCTGTAAAACTAAACCAATTGGTTCCTATGCCTAAAAATAGCTCTTTATACATTATTCTTTATAATATAAAATAAAGGCTATAATGCTCATAATGAACTACAATAGTTCTTAGATGACAGAAATCATTCATCTTGTTACCCTCTAACCTAAAACTCAGCATGATGAAAAGTAGCCCTGAATTAAATCATTTATTAGCAGTCAATCTGGATTCAAAATCCAAAATACAGCAAATCAAAGCATTAGTTGATAATTAAAGAGTTTGAGAAAAAAGAATAAACTATCTGAGAGTAGTAAAAAGATTTCTGAAGACCATTTGTATGGCTTTAAAATTGTACATGTTCTATAAGATTTTTAAAAACAACTAGTATGATTTAAAATTTTTACACATTCATAGAAAATTTGAAAGTCTGTATAGTTCTCTCTTTGAATATAGAACTAATTTCTAAGAAGTTGGTTAGGTAATGGGGGAAAAGTATACACACTTAATTTTTAAATGTATTTTTATATCTATTATAGATTACATTAAGAAAGGGGGATTTGTTTTCACCTTAGCAGTAATGAGCACCCAAAAGTAAAATATTCAGAAAAACAACCAAAAGAATGTTATAAATGACCCATTTTCATTCCTTACACTAAGCCTAACTTTAACGTGAGTTAAAAACCTATACTATTACAATAGCAATCTTGGACTTCGGTATTCAACTATGTGACATTATAGTATAAGACATTAAAAAATTTGCAATTATTGCAACTCTTCTATTTAATCAGATCTTTCTAAAGCACACCTACAATAAGTTAACATTTTAAACAAAAAAACTGTTTTCATTTGAGAGTTAAGTAGCCACAGGGCAAAAGAACAATTGTTTATTGTGCTCAGTAGACTTACAAGTAAACATATCAGACCAATGGCACACTCAACAACCATTCCTGCTCTATAACAAATTAGCCTTTAAAATTCTTTTAATAAATCCCTCAACCAACACTTATTAGGTAATAACCTTGTAACCCTTCTGTAAACATAATTTCACCTTTAACTAAAATTATCATATCCAAGGTAACTTTAACTTGTAAAGTGCCTAAAGAAAACATATCACAAAATGAGAGAGGAAGTGGAATGAGAAAACAACTGACTTCTCATACATTTAACTATAGGTTAAGTTAATGGAGAGAAAAAATAACGAAAGAATAAACGTCTCAAACGGGATACAAACAAGACCCTAGGCCACAAACAAATGAAATCTCAACCAGTTTAAGAAAAAGTGAGAGTAGAATTTAGGTATATACAAAAAGTTAGGCAGAGAGAAGCTTCCCAGGCTTAGTCATTGAGAACTCTGTTTTCACTCTACTATCAATTCCACTCCTCTATCGAAGACAGTATCACTTAACTAAGACAAAACACAATGATAAACTAAATACAGTTCATGTTAGTCCAGTATGACAGCTTTGTTCTTGCTCTTATCACTCCAACAAATTGAAAATTTTTTGTACATGCTTTGAAAAATACAGACAGAATGACAACTATAAAATGATACCTTTTGTTGTATTTTTCCTCATCTAAATGTAGTCTCGGTTACACAAATGTGCCATATATAAGTAATTGATACTTGGAATTTTAAGAAAAATATATAGGAAACAAAAATAAACATACTAAAAAATTATAAAATATTTATTTCCCCCGGGAACAGCTTTTCAAAACAAATAAAACCTATGAAAGTGTACACAATACTATGACATACCAAGTTATTGTTTCTCTTTGCCAGTAGATGGTGCTAATTTCCAGATGTATACACTATGAGCTACTGTACTAAAGATTACCTTGCTTGCTTGTTTAAAAACATTTCTAACATCATTTTATCTCTCAAATTAAAATCAAATGGGCAGGGCACGGTGGCTCATGCCTGTAATCCCAGCACTTTGGGAGGCCAAGGCGGGAGGATCACGAGGTGAAGACTTCAAGATTAGCCTGACAAAACATGGAGAAACCCCATCTCTACTAAAAAACACAAAAATTAGCCAGCATGGTGGCGGGCGCCTATAATCCCAGCTACTTGGGAGGCTGAGGCAGGAGAATCACTTGAACCCAGGAGGCGGAGGTTGCAGTGAGCTGAGATCGTGCCATTGCACTCCAGCCTAGGCAACAAGAGCAAGACCCCATCTAAAAAAAAAAAAAAACCTCAAATGAAGCAAAGATTACAAATTTGTTCTAAATATGAAAACTTTGAAAAAGAAAATAGTAAAATACACTATGTCTTTAAGCCATAATTTTTTTATATTTAAGGATCTCTGAAGACAAAGGTAACATTCCTGTTTCCAGAGTACAAACCAATATACTGTGTAAGTACAGATTAAAGGACTAGCTGCGCCAGGTTGGAATCCCAGCTTCAACTACTCAGTAACTGTGACACCTTAGGCAAGTTATTAACCTCTCCATGCCTCAATTACATGCTTTTTAACACGTAATTGAATAAAATAATACCTACGTCTCAGGGTTCTTGTCAGGTTTAAGTGAGATAACATAAGCAAAACACTTAGAAAACTGGGACACAGTAAATGCTATGTAATTGCTATTATTGTTGTTTTGTAATGCCTAACTAAACACCTAGAACCAAGAAAACTGCCATCAACAAAAGAATAAAATATAGATATTAATATAATGGACTATACAGCAGGGGGAAGTTATGTTCTACAGCTACATACAAACAAACAGATGAATCTTAGTAACATAATGTTGAATACAAATCTTAGCTTTTTTATGTAGTTTTAGCATATGTTTATATCCATAAACAATATAGTTGTTAAAGGTTTTATAAATAGAATCATATGTATTTTTCTGTTTAAGCTCTATTCCTGAGATTTATTCTTATTGTGTGTGGTTATAATTACTAATTTTCACCAGTATTTACCGTAACAGAATTAATATGCCATAATTTATCCATCATTTCTCTGCTGACAGAGAGTTGTTCCCAGTTTTCCCTATTATAAATAGTGTTTTAAAAACATTCTTGCACATATCTGTACATAAGCAACATTTTCTCTTGTTATATGCTTAAAGATTTATTTTAGGAAAGTGATTCTTAAACTCTATTAGATAATGCCATTATATTAATATCCATATTTTTTCTTCTGTGGATGAGCATTTTTATTGCTTCTAGTTATTTCTCTGGGCATCATGAAGTTGAAGATAATGGTTACTTCTGAAGGCGGAAGAAAAGAGATGGAATGGGAGGAGACCATAGAAGTGACATAAAAACTAATGGTAAGGGTTCTGAGAAGATGGTAGTGGCTGCATACATTCTGATACTCTTCAAATTCCCATAAAAACATACAGAGAAACAAGACAGGAAAACCAAAATCCCACGCACAATAGTTGACTCTTCAACAACATGGGGGTTAGGGATGCCAACCCCTATGCAATCAAAACACCACATATAACTTCTGACTCTCCAAAATCTGACTATTAATACCTTACTGTTGACCACAAGCCTCACCAATACTATGAACAGGTGATTAACAGATTTTTTTATGTCATATGTATTACATAATTTTTTCACTGTCACCTACCTGTCCCTGATGTATTCTTATAATTAAGCCACAGAAAATGTTTAAGAAAATGTTAAGGAAGAGATAATGTATTTATTATTCATTAAGTGGAAGTGGATCATCATGAAAGTCTCCATTCTTCTTCATCTTCACAAAGAGTAGGCTGACGAGGAGGAGGGATTGGTCTTGCTATCTCAGGGGTGGCAGAGGCAGAAGAAAATCTGCACATAAGTGGATTCACACAGTTCAAATTCATGTTGTTCAAGGGTCAACTGTACTTACAACAAAACTATGTGACAAGGTATCCCCTCAAACCCCAAAATGCAAGTGGGTAGAGAAAAATCACTAACACCCACAACACTGTACTACTTGGCAGAAAGAAGAAAGCAACAAGGTGGCAACTGATGAACTTAAGACCAAAATCATACCAAAATAGCTAACGGGTATTCACTGGAAAGCAGAGCAGACTCATTTGGAAATATACACACACACACACACAAATGCTACAACTGACAGAGGTTCTGGCATCTCTAATACCAGATAAGACAAAGAGCCCATGATAAGAAGTTCTGAAAGGGTTGGAACAATTTAGTCCCTCTGAGCTTTAAGCTTTTGAAACTGACCCACCAGGGCTCTCTTCTATAATAAGCCCCACACTGAGAAGAAACTGAGAAGAATCAAGCCTGAGCTCCCCACACTGAGAAGAAACTGGGAAGAATCAAACCTGAGCAGAATAGAACAGAAGAAAGAAAAGGTCCACACCAAGCCAAGGAAGGTAAGAGATCCAAGAAATATCAAAAAGCAGGTCCTCATCTTTTGAACACTACATAAAAACAAAAGCAGGAGCTCTGTGAAGTCAAGAAAATATTTCCACCACATTCTGCAAGTTTATGAAAGCCAATTTCATATAAAAATGACCAAAAGTATCAAGATCAAATCCTATACAAAGTTATTACAAGAAAAAAAATAAGCAGAATAAATCCCTATAGACAATGTAAGCACTCAGGAAAATGTGCAAACAAAACAGATCAAAACTGTAAACTATGATTTCAAAACAAGCTAAAGACATTAAGAAAGTCATGTAAGACATAAAAGAACACACATAAGAATAAGCAAAACTGAGAACCAAAGATTCAACACTCAGGAGAGAGTAAGAGATAAAAGAAAAAAAATCATTTCCAAAATAAAAAACAAACCAGAAAACACAAAGAGAAACATAACAGATAGTGTCTTCAAAGAAACAGCAGGAGAAAAGAGAAAAGAGAAAAACAAGTGAAAAGCAGGTTAATTTTTTTAGAAATATAGATTTTTAAAAAATCCTTGAAGAAAGGCAAAGAAGAGCCAATATACCAATAATAAGAGTTCTTAACCAATGCAAAGGAAGAATACAAATACTAGTATTACTTTCTCAATTAAAAAAAAGTGTAGGTACCAAAAAGAACACACCATGTAGAAGAGAATACTGTCGCACAACAACGAACACCAAGATATTTTATTTAAATGACTGGACCTTAATGAAAAAATAAATCTTTAGGGATCTAGAAAAAAAAGATCTTAAAAGAGAAAGAAAATTAAAAGATCACCAGACTTTCACAGCAGTGCTTTAAGCCAGAAGAAAATGGAGTAATATATTTAAAATGACAGTGTAAAATAGTACATTTATTGTTAAAATGGGAGAATTAATAGAACATATGCAATAATAATTTTCTGTAATCATTTCTTTGGTAGTCTTTAACATTACTCTAAGACTACTGTGTGCATAATACAGAAAAAAATCAGTAATGTTAGAATATATTAATTTAATCACATCCTATGTCCTTAAGAAACCAAATTCTTAGGGTGGAAGAAAGGAGATATATATGTAACAGGGAAAAAATTTTAAAAAGCTATATGGTCCTGAATTTGAATTAGAAATATGAATATAAAGTCATGAGTTATTTTATCTTCATTTTTCCTAGCTCTGTTCACTAAAAAGGCCTAGACATAATGATCAACCCAATAACAGTGAGCGTCTCTAGCACTCAAATTGTGGTCTTGAAATGCCATTGCTCACCAAAAGAAACCAGAACGTCTTAGAGAAACAAGTGATTCCAGAAGAAAAGCACACAATGAATCTTACAACACCAGGTAGAAAGTAAACTAATTCAAAATCTGTCTCAGGAGTCTATCTGAAGAGGCTTCCACTGGCTGAAGATGGGATAATTTGAGCTTCGATATGAAAATAACTGAAATTTTATTGAAACCAATGAAATATAGTTAGTCCATGAGCTCATAATTATTTTATTTAAGCTGGTATCTTTAGACAATGACAGACATCCAGTTCATTATACTGAAAACTGGTAAATGAAGGGAAAGAACCAAGCATTACCTTTCCAGTATGAACTGTATAGCTGGTTTCCAAATAGATGATAAACAGGAAGTATCTATTTGTATTTTGGGATCTTTGGGATGTCACTTTTCTGGGCAGAAACCTTTGTGGCTGGTGGCACCCTTGACCAAGCTCTTGTCCTGCGTCCAGGAAGAATGAAGTATTCAGACAAGTGGAGGGTGAGCAAGACAAAGAGAAGCTTTGTTTAGTGTTAGAGCAGCTCAGAGAAGACCCACAGTGGGTAGCTCCTCTTTGTAGGCAGGTCATCCTGTTGAGTGTGCAGCTGTCAGCTGAGAGGAAGGTGGGTGGCTCCTCTCTGCAAGCAGGTCCTCCCATTGTCTCTGCAGCTCTCAGCAGGGAGGAGGCTCCTCTCTGCGGTTTGTAGGCAGGTCATCCCAACAAGTGCTCGGCTCTCAACAGAGAGGGTAGCTCCTCTCTGCAGCTGGTCATCCCCACATCTGCAGCTCTCAGCAGAGAGGAGGCCCTGCAGAGAGGGTAACTCCTCCGTGCTCAGCTCTCAGCAGACAGGGTAGCTCCTCCCTGCAGCTGGTCATCCCCATGTCTACAGCTCTCAGCAGAGGTGGCCCCAAAGAGGGTAGGTCCTCTCTGCAACTGGCCAGTCAACTCTTCCTACTCTGCCCTGCCCTGGCTGAGCCCAGAGCTTTTATGGGCCTCAGAGGAGAGAAATGCATGCTGATTTGTCCATGAGCAGCCATGGGAAGCCATGGGTGGGCCCAGGAAAAGGCACTATGAGTTCCGCCTCTGGTGGCAGGACTGGCAGCCCAGCTCCAGGCTTCAGACCTGCCCAAGCCTGAAGGTGGGGCTTCACTGGGAACCCGCCCCCTTCCACCAAGAAGCCTGTCTGCCTCCCACGTCATCCATCATGTCCAGGCTGTTGGCACCAAGGGGCACCTGCAGGCCAGCGCCTGGCCACCCTCAGCCACCCCTCAGTTTCCCCTCCCGCACTCTTCAGCACCCAAAGTCCAGAGGGGGCCAAGGTGGCAGGGGGCTGGCACGTCAGCACTGCCCCAAGCAATGGCACACCCAGCCAGGCTGTGACAGCGCCTAGGCTCAGCCCCAACCCAGCCCCAACCTTGCTCCAAGATTGGGGAGAGGCCAGGCAGCGGGAGCAGGCACCTCCAAGCCTGCAACAGCAAGGGGGCCCTTCCCAGACCCCACAAGAGTGCAGGTATGCCTGGGTCTGCAGCCCCGGTTTGGGGGGCTGCAGCTGTCGGGGAGGGGTTTGGAGTGGGGATCCTGCCTGCTCCGTGGAGCGGCAGGTCAGGGATTGCAGCCACTACTTGAAGGCTGCAGCCCTGCCCTCTACTGCCTACTCCTGGCTCCCAAGAGCAGAGGGGTGCCTGGGTTGCAGCCATGACTTGGGCAGCTGCAGTTGCACCTGGGGAGCTCCAGCCCCACCAACTTGGAAGGGGCAGGGCTCCCGCATGTCCCCAGCTCCCTCTGCTCCGTGGTGCATGGCACTGGGCCAAGTCCCCTCACAGCCTAGGGTGGGGGCTCCAGGTCCTCACTGGGCCTGGGCTGGCATCCAGGACAGGGGCAACATTGCCATGCAAGCTCCCTTTGTGGCCCCAAAGCTCAGGGGCGACCTGAAGCTCCCCCTTGGCCGGTGCAGGAACCAGCCTGGCCCAGCCCCATCGTGGAGACCCCAAGGGTGGCTGGTGGGCTGTGGGGGGTGTGGGGCTGTCCGCCTTCTCCCTGTGCCCTCCCTGAAGCAGCTGACATGATGGCAGCAGCCACACCAGATGGCCTGCGGCTGTCATCATTTATAGTAATATTCCAACTAATAAATAAGAAGAAAAGATAAAACTAGACTATCTTCATTTTGCAATTTCTAATTAATAGGCACTAAATGTAAAAGGGTGCTAATGTCACAAAATGGGACCTCTTAGAAGTCTTGGTAAAGGGATCTAGCCTAAATCTGATTTGGATTCTGCATCAATCTTCCAACTGTGAGGAAACACAAAGAACAGAAGAATATAATGATCTATACCATGATTATGCAATCAGCAAACTCTGGACTATGGAAAACTGCAAATCGACTGGCTCTGGTTCTTCAACAGATAAAGTTTAAGGAAAAGAAAGAAATTAAGGGTTAACCATTTTTTTAAAAAGCTTAAGAAACAAATGAAATTTTTGAATAGGCATGACTAAACTATAGTATCTAAGGATAAGCACTGAGTGATAAAATTATTAAAATATTCAAAAAAGTGATTACCATAAAAGTCAGGATACTGGTATGTTATCATAATGGTTATTTAAAGTGGGAAGTCGGTCGGGCACAGTGGCTCAAGCCTGTAATCCCAGCACCTTGGGAGGCCAATGCAGGCAGGTCACTTGAGCTCAGGAATTCGAGACCAGCCTGGCCAACGTGGTGAAACCCCGGCTGCACTAAAAATAGAAAAATTAGCTGGGCATAGTTTCATGCACCTTTAGTCCCAGCTACTCAGGCTGAGGCAGAAGAACTGCTTGAACCTGGGAGGCAGAAATTGCAGTGAGCCGAGAGCCACTCCACTCCAACCTGGGCAACAGAGCAAGACTCCGTCTCCAGAAAAAAAAGAGAGAGAAGGGGGTTAGGATTGGAATGGGACACACAAAAAGGACTTCTAAGGTAAGGAGGTAAGTGACAAAGTTGTATTTCTTTTCTTATCTTTTTTTTTTTTTTTTGGAGACAGGGTCTCACTCCTACGTGCAGGCTGGAGTGCAGTGGTGCAATCACAGCTCACTGCAGCCTCGACTTCCAGGGTTCAGGTGATTCTCCCACTTCAGCCTTCCAAATAGCTGGGACTACAGGCATGCGTCACGACACTCAGCTAATTTTTGGTAGAGACCAGGTTTTACCAGTTGTTCGAACTCCTGGGCTCAAGCGATGCCTCAGCCTCCCAAAGTGCTGGGATTACAGGCATGAGCAACTGTCCCAGGCGCAAAGTTGTATTTCTTGATTTGGGTAGTGGTTACAAGGATGTACCTTATAATAATTCATTAGGTCTTATGTTTGGCTTTGTGGTTTTCTGTATTTTCCTTTTTCTTTTCTTTTCTTTTTTTTTGAGACAGAGTCTAGGTCTGTTACTCAGGCTGGAGTGCAGTGGCACGATCTCGGTTCACTGCAACCCCCACCTCCCAGGTTCAAGCTGTTCTCCTGCCTCAGCCTCCCAAGTAGCTGGGACTACAGGCACAGGCCACCACGCTCAGCTAATTTTTGTAATTTTAGTAGAGACAGGGTTTCACCATGTTGGCCAGGCTGGTTTCGAACTCCTGACCTCAGGTGATCCGCCCACCTCGGCCTCCCAAAGTGCTGGGATTACACGCCTGAGCTACCGTGCCCAGCTATTTTCACTTTTTAATACAAAGATTTATTTAAGTGACAATTTTTTTCCTAATCTAAATGATGGATATATAACTTCATTATATCACAATTCTATTTTGCATAACTTTATAAATACTTTTTGTAACTAATTCAGTATTACTTGAAATTTTGCATTTAAAAAAATCACCAGCTGCCTGGTGATCTTGCGGGAAAGAACCACCGTGGTCCCAGCTTTGCGCAGAGGTAGGAGGTGGGCAGTGGAGGTGGGAGTGAAGTCTCAGGAAAAGAGGCGGTTGCCATAGCGGAGCCCTCTGGCTGTGTGTGTCTGAGGCTTGGCAGCCAGAGCCATGGACGGTTTGCTGGGCCCGTTAGTGCACCCAGTGGAGACACGCAGCCTTCATGTCCCGCTACCTGCCGTCTCCCCAACATGTCTCTGTTTGTCAGGAACATAGCCAACGACACCAGGTCTGAAGATTTACGGTGTGAATTTGGTCGTTATGATCCTATAGTTGATGTGTATGTTCCACTTGATTTCCACACTCACCATCCAAGAGAGGATTTGCTTCTGTTCAATTTGAGGGTGTTCCTGATGCTGAAGACACTTTATATAATTTGGACAGAAAGTGGATTTGTGGAGGGCAGATTGAAATACAGTTTGCCCAGGGGGATCGGAAGACACCAAATCAGATGAAAGCCAAGGAAGGGAGGAATATGTACAGTTCTTCACGCTATGATGATTATGACAGATACAGACGTCCTAGAAGCCGAAGTTATGAAAGAAGGAGATCATGAAGTCAGTCTTTTCATAACAACTATAGAAGATCATATAATCCTAGAAATAGACTGGCTGGAAGACCACAGAGTAGCAGAAGCCATTCCGACAATGACAGACCAAACTGTAGCTGGAATATCCAGTACAGTTGTGCTTACTAGACTTCAAGAAAGATCTGAAAGTGGAAAAAGAACCAAAGAAGGGCAGTTCAAGTGACAAAGGGGTGTGTGGAAGGTGCTGCAGTATGAATACTGTACAAATATTTTGACTCTGGTCTGAAAAGATAAAAGAATGTTATCGAAAACTACATGGAATAATTGAAGTCCCCTCAAGTTTGAAAGTAAGCATTTTAGGACAAATAAAAGGACATTCAACTTTGTACTTGCGGAAACTAATCCCTAAATATGAATAAGCGTATATTGATTCATGGGTAATAGGTCCATAATAAATTATTGGAAACTAGGATGTCTGAATATCAAGGAAGACAGCCGTAGTCTCTTACAGTGCCTCTGTTGGTCTGCCTCAAACTGATTTAGGTGGGAAAAGTTATGGTCCAATATAAAAGTTCCATTTTCGCCATTATTGGCAAATCTTGCCTTTGTTTATTTTGGTGTCAGTGTTTTCTGCTTAATCATTGGCTTTGTTGGCATCTGCGTTTATTTACTTGTACACCACATGCAGTTTACATCTTCCTTAACTACTCTCCTTCCCAGGTAAATTCCAATTATATTCGACATCCAGCTAAGAGGGCCCATCTCTTCTCACCTCTATCCTAGTCAGTATGTTCAGCAAATATTTATTGAGTGCTGACACTGTGGGCAAAACATTGTACTGGTTAATTGAGGAGAAAAGTAGATAATTCCCTTATTCAGTAAATGTCTACTGGGTACAATCTAGTGAATGATTACAGTATGGCCTAATTGTCTTGTTTGAGATGTATTATTCGTTACAATATTTTACACCATTCATATCTTAATATAATTATAGAACCCAATATACTATCAAAGATAAGTAATTGTGTGGTTATATGCCATTTAAAATTATCCCGTGTTTGTCTGATCCCATTATTACAAATAATTAAAAAATGATTTGTTTTAATCTGTAATAAACTGATTTATTGTGCAGTGACTGTAATATACTGGAGTTATATTAAATTGTTTACTCAGCCTCACCAAACACATACTAGGAAATAACCCCCAAAATAAGTATTTAACTTTGCATTAGATATAAACGAGACTGGGTGCTATAATTAGATTATTTTAAGGTAGACAGCTATTATCCCAACTGATGTAGTATGTTCTGTAATTGAGAAAATGTTCACCAAATTTTACTTTTTAGTGATTTACATGTACATTTTATAGGGGACATGTTCTATGTATAGTGAATAAATAACTTTGACAGTAAAAAAAAAAAAAATAGCCAACGTGGGAAACATAGTGAGACCTCATCTCAACAAATATAAAAATTTTAAACATTAGCCAGGGGCCAGGCATGATGGCTCACTCTCTGATGGGCTATTATTCCAGTATAGTTAGAGCAACATAAAAAAAAAAATCAACAGATAACATGTTGGATAGCAATAATTCTAAGAAGAAAAATAAAGAAGGATGATGTGATAGTCATGGGAGAGGAGGTGCTACTTTAGTCAGGGAAGGCCTCTCTGATAAAACAAAATATGAGACTTCTGAGGAAAAAAAGATTACAAAGAGAAGAAAGAAAGTACAAAGGCATTGAGGTAGAAGAATACCTTACGTTGGAACATTCAAGAAATAGCAAAGCTCATGTGACTAGAGCAAACTGAGCAAGAATAGAGTTGTAAGACGTTACATAAAAGAAAGTGAAAGCGAGTATTTTGCAGGGTTTTACAGGCCATGGTAAAAGTTTGGGATATTGTTCTTAATAAGATAAGAAATTACTGAGCACATGAGTGACATGTTCTAACTTAAGTTGTCCCTCAGTATCTGTAGGGGACTGGTTTCAGGATTCTCCTTCAAAATCTGTGAATGTGAGAGCCCCTATATAAAATAGCAGAGGATTTGTACATAACCTACACACATCCTCCACTACACTTTAAATCATCTCTAGATTATTTATAATACCTAATACAGTGTAAATACTATACAAATAGTTGTTACACATTATTGTTATTTGCATTATTTTTATTGTTGCATTGTTATTTTTTATTGGATTTTTTTCCAAATATTTTTGATCTGCAGCTGGTTGAATTCAAGCATGCAAAACCCATGGGTATAGAAGGCCAACTGTAATAATTTTGTCTGCTCCATGAAGAATAACGAATAGACTCAAAGGGATAATCAAAGAAGCAGCAAGACCACTTAGGAAGCTCCTGCAATCATCCAGGAGGTTAGTATTATAGGAACAGAAGTAGAAATAACAGAAAGTATCAAATTCTGGATATCTTCCTTTTTGTATAGTTTCAGCATCTATACACATCAAAAAATTCTTCCAAAATGCTAATAACTTTTAAAAATATTGTTATAGAAATAAAAGTCTTTGGGAAAGTTTTTTAAAACACATAGCAACTGGAAGACTACACTTTAAGAGATGGTTAAACAAATCTGTGAGAGATAGTGGCTACAAAGTGTGAAGACTCTAAAGTTAAAAACTTCTTGTTTTGATTCTAGCTCAACCACTTACTAGACAAGAAAGTTATAGCAGCATTTCCCTATGCCTCAATTTTATCATTTGTCAAATGGAAATAATAATAGCTACCTTATAGTACTCCTCTGATTAAATATAACAATGAATATAAAGAACTTAACTGACATATCGTAACAACTCAACATTGCCATAGGTTCCCAGGATTACTTTTTCCCATTGCTACTATTATTTGTAATATCCCTTTTAGAACTGGTTACATATTCATTTTAAAATTATCACAATAAAAATGAACTGTAAGTGTTCCTGTTATATATTTAATGATATGGTTCTTAACAGAAAACAGTTTCTGCTTTATACATTAAAAAAACTATAATTTTTATTATAGATTATTTTAAACTTGATGGATCAATCCTCTTAAGGATAACGAATTTGGATTTGCAAGAATTCAAGGCAATTCCGGGTAACATTTTTTTCTTCACTTCAAAATTATAAAATTTAAAGATCTCATAAAATCAACAGAGTATGAGAAGAATAATTAAATATGAGCCATAATTATTTGGACTTTTTGGTTAGTTTCAGTTGGTCACATACATGATTTTATCATGTTGTATATCTGCGTGTATCAGTTAGGTTCACAAGATAAACTCTAGGGCCAAATACTTAATGCCCTTTCATATTGGAAATGCTTCTATTAAAGATACATAAGACAGGCTGGGCATGGTGGCTCACGCCTGTAATCTCAGCACTTTGGGAGGCTGAGACGGGCAGATCACTTGACATCAGAAGTTTGAGAACAGCCTGGCCAACATTGTGAAACCCCGTCTCTACTAAATATACAGAAAATTAGCCAGACGTGGTGGCGCATGCCTGTAATCTCAGCCACTTGGGAGGCTGAGACAGGAGAATCGCTTGAACCCAGGAGGTGGAGGTTGCAGTGAGCCTGTAATAAGGGTTAAAAAGAAAAAAAAAAAAGTTTTCCTCTGCTTAGCAGCTCAATTCAAGAACAGTTATAACACTGTCCAAAAAGCCAAGGACAGAGGAATGGGCTCCAGACACCCCCGCCCCCTCCAGAGCAAGGTTAAGGAAAAAAAAAAGAGAGAGAAAGACAAATTCCTTTATTGTTACTCCTTTCCCTTGCCTCTTAAGCATAACGGTGTTTTACAAATGCCTGTATTTAGCCAATTCTTGTTTTTCTTTTGACACAGCTAAAAGGCCACCAGCTATGCAAGGCCACAAGTTATGCACTATATGATTAACTACCTTTGTTTTGCTCTTATGAGCCCACTTATAAAAACCTCGCTCTGTCTTTATTCAAGGCCCAGCTTTTTGGAGGTAAATCCACTGAGCCGGTGTGTACCTCACAATAAATATCCTCCTGTATTCACGCATACTGGTCTCTCTAATCCTCTGCGTCCCGCAACAAGCTGAGAGCGCGCCACTGCACTTGCAGTCTTGCACATAGCAAGACTATGTCTCAACAACAACAAAAAAGGTACATAAGACAATGGCAGACAATAATTGCTTCTGGGAGAAGATAAGGGAAAATAAAAAAGAAAGAGATATACTTTACACTTAAAGCCTTTGGCATGGCTGGGTGCGGTGGCTCACACCTGTAATCCCAGCACTTTGGGAGGCCGAGGCGGGCAGATCACCTCACGTCAGGAGTTCAAGACCAGCCTGGCCAACATGGTGAAACCCCGTCTCTACAAAAATACAAAAATTAGCCATGCGTGAGGGCGGGTGCTGTAATTCCAGCTACTCCAGAGGTTGAGGCAGAAGAATCACTTGAACCCAGGAGGTGGAGGTTGCAGTGAGCCAAGATTATGCCATTGCACTTCAGCCTGGGCAACAGAGTGAGACTCCGTCTCAAAAAAAAAAAAAAAACCCCTTAGCATTATTTGGGTTCCTTCCTTGCAGATGCATTAACTTTTCAAGCACGTAAAATATTGTTCAAAGAAAAAAAAATTCATTTTACTAACAATTTACAACACAATTGTTTAAATGTCACATAGGTCACCATACTGGCAGCTTACCAGATTGAAGATGCCAGTAATATGTTAGTGTGGTTTGCAAGAAACTTCAATGGAGGCTCTGCAAGCAGTAGACAGGATAAAATTCCTCCACCAAAACAGTGGAGCATAGCAGTAAACCAGCTTGAAATAGGATTCTTCCATGCCAATGCAGCTGCTCCTGAAATGGTAAAGTAAAATATGGTCTGTGATCATTATACATTTATTAAACAAGCCCCAAAGTACAAGTTGCACTAAACAAATAAACTTCTTAAATTCATAATTTTCAACAACTATTATTCATAGGTGTGCCAGTCAAAATCATTAAAAATCATACCTTTTATTCTTTAAAGCAAGACTGGAAACATTTTGTTAATGGGTGATTTTTGGCACTTTGGCACCTTTAAAATACTCTGTTCTGTTTAGGCTGTCATTGCCAGTTTCCTAGTAATGGATTATTATAAACGATATTCTCACTTATTGTCTCCTTCCATCCCAAACCCTACAGTAAGCACTCCCAGACAATATGTCAAAGTGATTTATTAAGAAAAATTTACAATCTTAAGTATATTGGAAAATAAAGAAGTTGAAATAAATAAACTAAGCTTTCAACAAGACAGGTGAGAAACAGAGTAACAAAATAAACCTAAAGGTGAAAGGTTTCTTAGGAATAGATATTTATACTACCTCAACACGAGTCTTAACTAATTACTTATTAATTGTAGAGGAAAATAATAACTTGAGAGTGGGGGAAACCTTTCAGACATCACTGTAAATAACATCAAGTGACTCCTGATATGATACACTGAGAACACATCATCACTTCTGTGGTATCTCTTTTTTTTTTTTACTTTGAGATAGAGTCTTGCTCTGTTCCCCAGGCTGGAGTGCAGTGATGCGATCTTGGCTCACCACAACCTCCACCTCCTGGGTTCAAGCAATTCTCCTGCCTCAGCCTCCCAAGTAGCTGTGACTACAGGCACCTGCCACCACGCCCAGCTAATTTTTGTATTTTTAGTAGAGACGGGGTTTCACTATGTTGGCCAGGCTGGTCTCAAACTCCTGATCTCGTGATCCACCCACCTCGGCCTCCCAAAGTGCTGGAATTACAGGCGTGAGCCACCGAGCCCGGCCACTTCTGTGGTTATTTCTAACAAAAATATACAACCTGAACTAATCGAATCAGACAAACCCAAACTGAGGGCTACTCTGAGAAAACAAAAACAAACAACAAACAACAACAACAACTGGCTTATATTTTTTAAATGTCAAAGTCAAAAAAACACCCAAAAAAAAGGCCAATAAAACATTCTAGATATGAACAATGTCTCTAACTCAAACTATATTTATTTATTTACTTAATTACTTATTTATTTATTTTGAGACAGGGTCTCGCTCTGTTGCCAAGGCTGGAGTGCAGTGGAGTGATCTCGGCTCACAGCAACCTCAGCATCCTGAGTTCAAGCACGTCTCATGCCTCAGCCTCCCAAGTAGCTGGGATTATAGGCACGCGCCACCACACCAGGCTAATTTTTGTATTTTTTTTTTATACTTTAAGTTTTAGGGTACATGTGCACATTGTGCAGGTTAGTTACATATGTATACATGTGCCATGCTGGCGCACTGAACCCACTAACTCGTCATCTAGCATTAGGTATATCGCCTGATGCTATCCCTCCCCCCTCCCCCTACCCCACAACAGTCCCCAGAGTGTGATATTCCCCTTTCTGTGTCCATGTGATCTCATTGTTCAATTCCCACCTATGAGTGAGAATATGCGGTGTTTGGTTTTTTGTTCTTGCGATAGTTTACTGAGAATGATGATTTCCAGTTTCATCAGAATCTACAATGAACTCAAACAAATTTACAAGAAAAAAACAAACAACCCCATCAAAAAGTGGGCGAAGGACATGAACAGACACTTCTCAAAAGAAGACATCTATGCAGCCAAAAAACACATGAAAAAATGCTCATCATCGCTGGCCATCAGAGAAATGCAAATCAAAACCACAATGAGATACCATCTCACACCACTTAGAATGGCAATCATTAAAAAGTCAGGAAACAACAGGTGCTGGAGAGGATGTGGAGAAATAGGAACACTTTTACACTGTTGGTGGGACTGTAAACTAGTTCAACCATTGTGGAAGTCAGTGTGGCGATTACTCAGGGATCTAGAACTGGAAATACCATTTGACCCAGCCATCCCATTACTGGGTATATACCCAAAGGACTATAAATCATGCAGCTATAAAGACACATGCACACGTATGTTTATTGCGGCATTATTCACAACAGCAAAGACTTGGAACCAACCCAAATGTCCAACAATGACAGACTGGATTAAGAAAATGTGGCACATATACACCATGGAATACTATGCAGCCATAAAAAATGATGAGTTCATGTCCTTTGTAGAGACATGGATGAAATTGGAAATAATTTTTGTATTTTTAGTAGAGACAGAGTTCCACCATGTTGGCCACGCTGGTCTGGAACTCCTGGCCTCAAGTGATTCACCCGCCTCAGCCTCCCAAAGTGCTGGGATTACAGGCATGAGCCACCACACCTGGCTTCCAACTCAAATTATTTTATTTTAATGTACTGGCATTTAGAAGAGAAAAAAGAAATTTCTCTGTCCTACCTTAAGATGTTTGAAATACGCTATCAATAGAATTATTTTCCCCAAAATTCTTAGCAACATTTGTCACATTGAGACCTAAATCTAATTCCAAATATAAGATGTTTAAAATGCAAATAATTACATATGAACTTTAATATCAAAATGCTTTCAGCCAGGCATGGTGGCTCACACCTGCAATCACAACACTTTGGTTTGGGAGGCCAAGCTGGGAGGATTGCTTGAGTCCAGGAGGTCGAGACCAGCTTGAGCAACATAGCAAGACTCCCATCTCCACAAAATATAAAAAATTAGCCAGGCTTGATAGTACACACCTGTAGTCTCAGCTACTCAGGAGGCTAAAGTGGAAGAATCACTGAGCCCAGGAGTTCCAGGCTGCAGTGAGCCATGATAGTGCCAATGCACTCAGCCTAGACAACACAGTGAGACCCTGTATCAAAAATAAATAAATAAATAAATAAATAACTTCATCATGAAACGAAAGCTACAAAGAAAAATAAAGTCACACTGTACTTCCATAAATACATTTAAAATCACATCTACAAAATAATCCCAAATTCTGGCAAAATGAATCATTAGACTACGCTTAATAGTTTTATGAACTTACAGTTATAACAAAAGTTAGAAAGATATTTTGTTAATGCACTGCATACATGACTTCTTTATTTTCTTGTACTCAGTCTATTTTAGTTCCAGAGTGTGTCCCTGTTTTTAAGAACTACTTGCACTGTAGCTATTTTCAAAACAGTTGACATTCAACTTGCTAGTGGCTGACATAACTTCTAGAAAGAAGCATGGGAATGTTCTAGCCTTCTTAAAACTTCAACTCTACATATTACATATTTTTAAATTGCATATTAGTTTACTTTTGCTTTAGTCTTTCCCCTTTATAGATTTATCTTCTTTTTAAAAAGAGAGAAAAATGAACAACATATCCTATATGCCTCAAGTATGCTTTTTCATCAAAATTATTTAAAAATAATCACGTAAGCAACAGAGGCTTACAGATTATCTATGACACAATTCAAGGAGTTTTAGATCAAGTTTGGGGGATTTTTTTGGTTTTTAAATTTTTTTAAATTTTTTCAGAGATGGGGTCTCACTATGTTGGCCAGGCTGGTCTCAAACTTCTGGCCTCAAGTGATCCTCCTGCCTCAGCCTCCCAAAGTGCTGGGATTACAGGCGTGAGCCACTGCACCCAGCCTTAGATCAAGTTTGAATCATAGTGGGCCAGGTAGATCCACATACTCACCTTGCAGTTATTCCCCAGTTCCTTAATGAGTAATTAGAACAGACATACTTGGCAACTGACTCAATGCCCATATAGATTCTCTGATTTATGGCATAAGGAGCAATATGGTATAATGGATCACATAGAAGCCCCTAGGTATTCCTCTCCTCACCAACAAAGTAACCAAAAACAATACCACAGAAATTGGTGCCACAACCAAAGACAAAAAGGTGGTGATAGCTACCACATTCCACTAACTTACCTGTTTGATCTAAATATAAGACAGATGGATCTTGGAGAATAGCTATGAATTATAAACACAGAAAGGTCGTGACTGTAATTGCAGCTAGTATTCAAGATGTAGTATTTTTACGGGGTCAAATCAACACAATTCTTATAACTTGGAAGCAAATGCTTTTTTCTTCCTATTAATTTGCAAAAAATCTCAGAAGCACTTTGTGCTTTGTTCAACCATTACAGTCTTGCTTCAGGTCTATGTTAACACTCTTGCTCTCTAAAATAGTCCAGAGATTTTGATCACATTGAGAAATCACACATCACACTGATCTGCTGCACTGATGACATTACACTGACCGGGTCTGAAGACTGGCAAGTAGCAAGTACTTTAGTTATCTTAATAAGATATATGCAAACCAGAAAGTAGGAAGTTCAAACCCTACTCCTGGGTATCTGTCCAGTCAGGAGATAGAAAATACCATTATTTAAATAGAACTCAGTAGGTATAAAATTGTTAACTAGGTTATTGAAAAGGCAAAAAGTAAATACTACATTATCACAGAGTTCAGTTCCAGAAAGCAGTTACTACTCTGGGGGAACAATAGGCTGAAATTATTAAAATTTAGAAACTTGGTGGAGGAGCTCTTTAGAGCCCAGACTGAGACCCCTGTGGAGGAAACACTGCTCAGGTGTTTCCTCCACAGGCCATGTGAACCCGTGCACATGGCCTCTGGCTCTTTAAATCATGTAACAAAGGGGCTTTGGGGAGTGTCATAAATGTTCTATTTTTATCTGCATATGGGTGTGTTTGAAAATCCACTGAGCTGTACATTTATGACTTTTGCACTTTTCCCTGTTTTTACATGGGGACTCATAAAGATATTGCAAAACTCAGCTGCCACCACTGCTGTCACCTTTCCAGGATGCCCAGAACTGATAAATCCTAGACTTACAAACTTTCATCTCCCACAAATTACAGGAAAGGAACAATGACAAACTTTATTCCAGGATTTAATTCATAGAAACGACAGAAATCATTGGAGAAAATAACCATGTCAAGTGACACCTTATTGAGAAATTGCTAATTATTGAAACCAGGAACAGTAAATGGTCATGCAAAGATAAGGCACAGAATAGTAAGAAATTTTGGAATGAACCAGATCTGGAGTCAAGAACTAGCTCCATAATTTACTAAACCATGTGACTTAAGGGAGGTTATTTTATCCCTTAAAACTATTCCTCATCTATAAAATGAGTTAAATAATACCTACCTTACAGGAATGTGTGAGGAATAGAATTAACATACTGAAATGTTCTCCCAGTATCTAAAATCAATGATGGCTACTATTATTGTGTAGAAAAGGTAGTGCAACCTTATGTGACACTATCAAAAATAAAGAAAAAGCACCAATAAGTCTCTTTAGGGCTATAACAGCATCTTTCATGGCGGTATCCTAAACATCTAATATAATGCCCAATACAGAGTTTCAATGAATATTTGCTAAAATTAATTATGTATGACTTCAGAGAGGTTAGCAGAATAGTCATGGCAGAATTTAGAGTAAAACAATACATTTTGTGTGTAATAGAAATTACTGTAGTCAGGAAGTCTTACACAAAATGGTGGTTTGATGTGAATGTAGGATTGAAGAAATGTGTTTATTTTAATGAAGACTTAAGAGACATTTAAAATGTAAGATAAGATAGATTAAAAGTAATGATGTAAACTTCCTGTTAAAATGGCTTCTCACTAGCAACCACCAAAACAGCATATTCCAACTTCCTAATAAAATGCCCAGGAGACAGAGAAAAGAAAAACAAACAAACAAAAAAAACTTATACTATCAGCCCAAACTGAAAACTATAGCCAATCACACGCAAGGGTTCAGGAGGATTCACATGTTTGTTCACGAGACAAATGGAGGTAAACAAAGAAAAAATTAATCCCACTTGTTGTATTACCTGATGTCTTTTATGTCTTTGCTTATGAAGCAAAAGTTACATAGAAGGCTGGAGGAGTATTATCTTTCCTGGGATTTTAAAGCCGAAAACCTGAACCAAACAAAAATGGGATGCAGTCCTTCACACCTTAGGCAGAAAAGAGTTAATCCCCTTTATCATTTTGCTTCTGGTGGCATTGTTTAAGATCTAGGCAGACAGTACAAAAGATCCGATATAAATGGTGGGAAAGTACGGAGTGAGGTATTGTTAGTGGCAGAGTGCATACCAAAATAAAGTCTCAAGGAGTAACACGTCTGAGAGGGTAAATATATGAAGAACTCTGGCAGTAGGATATATGAGAATTACAGTTTACTGTAGGTGTGAGTTCTAGAGAATCAATCACTGGGGGGATAGGAAAAAGTTGCCAATTAAGTAATGCATACATATTCTAAGTAAAAATCTAAAAGAAGTGGTGTTGGAGTAGGAGGAGTACACACATATTAGCTTCAGTTCTGACTATGAAAAAGGAATGCTGACCACATAAATAGAGAGTAATACAAGCTACTCACTCCATCTACTGAGCCTGAACAAATGTATCTTATTCAAAATGAGTTAGAAGAAAAAAAGACATATATGGAGTGTAAAAAAATTACCATAGGACATAAAGTGATTAAGATCCAGAAGATTCAAGTGAAATAGATAACATTTAAGAATTAACTACCAAAGAATCCAGAGAAATTTTCTACAATATAATGTAAACATTTACTCCAATAGACTTGGAAGTCTAAAAGAAATAGATGATTCCTGAGAGAGACATAAATTACCAAAATGACTTAGGTCTGGATTGGAAAAAAAATAAGATTTACCCATTAAAATATACCAAGAAACATAAAACTACATAGTTGAAGTCTACCAAATATCAAAGAACAAGCAATGCCTATTAAATAAACCATTCCAAGCTTAAAAAATGGAAAGCTTCCCAATCTATTTTACAAAAACAGCATAACCTTGGGCCCAAACTGAGGGTCACACAATAAAATAACCTAATAGGCTCATTTCTATTATAAACATAAATGCAAAAATTTTACATGAAGTACTGCCAAATCAAAATCCCTAATGAATTAAAATAATGTATCAAGTAGTTTAGTCCAAGAATATAAGGATGATTCATCATTTTTTAAAAAACGTAATAATGTAATTCACTACATTACATTTTTAAATGGGAAACACAATATGATCTCAATAGATTTTGAAAAAAAAATAGCACTTGATAAAATATGTCACCTTCTCCACCAGGATGGTGTAAAGATATAGGGATATCCTAGAAAGTTGGGAATAAAGTAAAACTTCCTTAAAGTGTCCCTCATAAAAACCTATAGCAAACATCACTCTTGAGAAAACTTTAAAAGCATTCTCATTAAATTCAGGAATATCAGGAGTAAGACAAAGTCACTCACTATCATTAGTATTCAACAAAACACTCTTTAATATATAAGAGGCTAGAAAAAGAAATGGAACCCGGGTTCTTGGCTACAAGCAGCAAAAACCAACAAACTTAAGCCATAAAGAATTCATTGGAAGGACTTCAGTAGCTCACAGAAAAAAAAAAAATGGGACGCTAAAGAAAACAAACAAGAACTAAGGACATTCCAGAGGTCTATGCACGTGGGATGATCTTAGTAAAGGTCTAGAGCAGAACCAGTTCAATGAGCATAGAGCATACTCTGCTGAGATCATTGAGTTCCAACTGTTCTATCCAGCCATGACCAGACTTGCAAAGGAACATCTATACAACAAAAAATACTGCAGATAGATTACGAACCTATACTTTTATAGAACTATAGAATTTTTTAAAAAAAGATCAAGGACGAGTATTTTTATAACCTTAGGCCTGAGAAACCCCTTCTTAAAATGCACAAATCCCAATAGTGACATAGGAGAAAAAAATTAATAGATTTTTTCATGGAAAAGTAAAAATATTATGAGATTTTTTAAACTTCTGCAATAAAAGACAATATAAACAAAGTTAAAGATAGCAAGAGTTATGGGAAAAAAGGACTACAGACATAAATAGAATGAATATCCATGATCCACAAAGACAGTAAATAGAAGACAATAACCTACAGCCCAATAAGAAAATGGACAAAAAAAAATTAAGCAATTTACATGAAATACAAATGACCAATAAGAGGCACAAACACATCAGTACCATGACAAACATAAATGAAAAATTGCTTTCTGATCATCAGAATGGCAAGATATTGAAGACCAATAATAGAACTGTCAAAGGAAATGGGCAGTCTAACACACTTCGGGTAAAAGGCTAAACAGGTACACTGTTCACTCTTGTGTCTGAATTCCATCATTTTTACCTCCTTACAAGTACTGGTACTGTATGATACTATATAAGTATTCAATAATCACGTGGTTCTCAAATTATGGAATCTCAGGAGCCCTCTACATCCCTAAAAATTAGTAAACAGATTAATGCTTGCCAAGGATAGGGGACAGCTTACACAAAAGTGCAGGAAGGAATTTAGGGTGGGTGAGGAAACCGTTCAGTATCTTGATTGTGATGGTAGTTGAATGACTGTATGTGTCTGTCCAAAAACACAGAACTTTTTATTAAAAATGGTGAACAGATTCTATGTGAATTACATCTTTTAAAAAATCGGACTTAAATTTCTTGACAACCCCAAAAGGTTTTGTTTATGTTGGCTACAAGTATCAATACTTAGCATCTTAGAAATTATAACTGAGAAAATTTTAAATAGTTGTGGCGGCTAAAGCAACTCCAACATCCGCCATGTTGACTTATGATTAACCCCAGTTCTGGGATTGCCTCTAAGATTTATATTTTATCTACTGTTCCTTGTGTAAAAGTATACACTTACCGATCTTGCCCTTAGGTCAAACAACCTTGACGCTATTTCACTTACCATAAATCCTGCTCTTAAGCAACTGTCCTACACATCTCTGGTTGGGGGTTGGGGGTCGGGTAATGGGGTGATCCACCATCTCCTTGGGGCCACCCAAGACATGGCTTCTGTTCTTAAGTCCCTTTTAAAGGTTTCTTTCTAAGAAACTGGATTCCTCAGCCTCTCAGCTTCCTCAGCCTTTGGGGATAGGACTGCATAGACCTGTCCACTATGCAACAATTGTTCTTCATGTTTTCATTTTTTAAAAAGTAAATGTATTAAATGTTAACATAAATAATGTATTCTTCAAGCCTGGCCAACATGGCGAAACCCCGTCTCCACTACTAAAAATACAAAAATTAGCCGAACTTGGTGGCAGGCGCCTCCCAGCTACTCCGGAGGCTGAGGCAGGAGAATCGCTTAAACCCAGGAGGCACAGGTTGCAGCACTGAGCCGAGATCGCGCCACTGCACTTCAGCCTGGGCGACAGAGAGACTCCGTCTCAAAAATAATAATAATAATAATGATAATGTATTCTTTATGAAAAATAACTTTTCCAAAACAAAAAACATTTAGTGAGAAGAATCACACTGTGTACATTCTAACAAATGTCTGGCTTCAAATAGAAAACTGTTAGATTCTCATATCTACTTCCTTCTGTTACAGTATCACAACTCAGGTAGCCTCTGGAAAACTCCACTGTACACTTCTGAAAAAATGAGAGTGAAAAAGATAACATCTGCATATTATTACGAAAGTAATTTTAAACTGGCAGTGTCAGAGAATCCCATGGGTCCCTGGACCACAATGTGAACATCTGATTCAGCCTATACAAAAAAAAATTTTTTTAATCAAATTCTGAACATGTAGTAGCAACAAAACTTACTTTTTTCAAATCAAAGAAATAATATCTTATGCAGATAATGTGTTCTACTTTAATGCAGTAATACCATCCTCATCCAGGTCAAAATTTGTACCAACGATTTAAACTGAGCTACAAACTTCAACATAAATGAAAAATATTTCTGAGGTCTAAGGATTTTTTAAAACCAGTAAGTAGTCCATAAGAAAGATACAGCATCATCCTCCAGACCTCACTCATCAACTATCCGTAGGGCAAGGCAGATGAAAGACAGCAAGAACACAAAGAAAGTAGGCAAAGAAATGTCTGACCTCAAAGAAAGAAGAGGTCCATACAACTAAAAGCACAGTAGAATAACTACAAAAGTAAAGCAGTATTAGAGCAAACGCACCCTGGTGTAAAATCCAATAAAATACAACTACTGTCCCTTGATCGCATTGCTAAAAGAACTCAAAATGCTGTTTCAAGACTATATCCCCATTCTGCAGATAGTGAAACTACGCCAGGTAACTCTTGCTTGTACAGTGTCCGTCGTGACTGTGAAAAGGGGAACGCACTCGCTTCTCACATGCTAGGCAGGGTGTTAGGACACTGCGTGAAGGGGAATCCTGGTCTGGCTACAGGAGGCTTTTTGTTTCAGTGCTTGTACAACTTTCATAACTGGAGAGTAGTCCGCAACCATCTATTACTCCAAGAGACTGAGTCAGAAACCTGCTGTCTCCTCACATGACTTTCAAACACTGCGAGCGAGTGGCGACACTGCGAGCGAGTGGCGACACTGCGAGCGAGTGGCGGTACCGCGAGGAGGCCGCCCAAGCCCTGGGCTGGCGCGGATATCTGTGGTTCCGAAACGCTGCGGCAGCTTCTGTCAGTCCTGGGACTTCTGCGGGCGGTTGGCAAGGTCGGCCCTGCTCGCCCAGGCTACGGCCTCGCGGACCCCAGGTCACGCCTCCTTTGAGGAGTACTAGAGCCTCCGTCCTCCCCCACGCTGTTTCCCCATCTGCACTCAGTAAGTCAGACCAACCGGCCCTTGGCGCCCCTCCAACTCTACCATCGAACTGTCTGGGCTAGCGGCCACTCAGCCGCCCACCCGACCCACCCGACCCACCCGACTTAGACGGTCCTCGCCGTCAGGAGCACTCTGAGGGGTCCGGCCCGCGGCGCCCCGCACTCACCCGGCTGACGTTTCACCGCCATCACTGACACTAGATAGTGCGCGATGTCAAAAAAGGGAAACATGGACGTGCGGGAGAAGGCCAGAGCCAACTCGTCCCATGGAGAATCCATAACGACCACCGACCGCGGCAACCGAAGCAGCCGCGGCTACTGGTTCCCCGCGCTCGCGCGGTGAGGAGTAGGAGAGGGCACAGCCGCGGCCGCCCGCTCCTCCGCGCCGGCTCCAGCTCCGCGCGTGCGCCCTGGCGCCGAGGGGGCGGGGCCGCGCTTCGCGGGAGCCGCAGGCTCACCGGCGCTAGGCGGGTGGGCGGGGCGAGCGGGTTCCCCGCGGCTCCAGCCGGCTCTTGCCTCGGTTCTCCTAGTAAGGGTCCAGCGTCTTCTTGGTCCTGGGCGCAGTGCAGGACCTGGAGAGCGTGCAGATGAACAAAACACGGTCCTCAAGGGGAGACGCTCAGAGTTGGATTTATTTCTGTAAATTGATGTCATTCACCTAACATTTATCGAGCAACCACAGTGCAAGTCACACTGTGACTTACTGGAGATATAAAAATAAAACAATAATATCCTGACCTCAAGAACTATGCGTTCCCTGAAAGAGATTTTTTATAAAAAGAGAAAAAACGCACATAATGGTACAAAAGCAGGTACTGAGAAGTATAGCTGCCGTGCGAGAGCAGTTCGAAACGAAGATTACAATTCTGGGAAGTGAGTAAAGTGACATGTGAGCTGGACTTTAAAAGTTAAGTGAGAAACACAAGCTAGGTGGGAGATGGAGGGAGGTGTTTTGGGTTGACTACAAAGTGAGAAATGAGGTTGGGAAAAGTCCTCGAATGGCAGACAAAGCCAGGCAGTTTGGCTCCAGAGGTTAAATTCTTGATCAATCACTATGTTAAGCTCAGAGCCAGAATCTCTTCTCCTAATCTCTACGCTAACTGGGTTGTTTGGTGGAAGGTGAGGGAGTAGAGGTGCAACGAAGCAACAAGATTAAGAATAGATTGATGAGAAGCGACTGACAACGGAAAATCAGAGGGTATTCACTGGTCCAAGCAAAAGGTAGTGGAGGCTGTGGCAGCAGAAATTGAGACCAATTGTGGGAAACATGGGTAGAAGCAGAATATCGTCAGTGAGTGTCAGTCTGTACAGGCGGGAAAGGAAGCATTTGTCAAATAAAATGAGGAACGGGTGAGTAGGAGGATTGTGGTTGCATTCTGATAAATAGGAAACAAGAAGGAATAGGTTTGGGTAAGAAAAAAAACTAGCTTGGCACACTTATTTGATGTGTGAACAGATTATGCTGGCACCAGGAAATTGGAGAAACGTGATTAGCTGCTAGGTAGGTGACAGCTTCACGGGTGTATGCACTGCAAAAGGAGAATTTTTTTTATCTGAATATGTATTCATTAATTTTAATTCATTTAACAAAATGTTTTTTGCGTGCCTACTATGTAACCAGCATTTTGCTGGATGTCAGAAATACTGCCCTAAACACTAAGTGTTTAAAACGTAGGAAAATTGTAGTAAATCTCTACACTTCATTACTTATCAAGAAAGAATAGACTTGTTCAAATACTTTTCACGTGTGGTTTTCTAAGCAAGCACTTCCCGTAGAGAAAAGTCTTTAGACCTGTAGCACACTTTCTAGCAAAACTAAGGGGAAAAAAACCACCTGTGAATATTTATACTTTCCTGTTTAAGTCTGTTCTTTCCATACTTTTTACACATTCGCTTATTTTTGGAATTTTAGTTTTGCGAATTTAGGCTCAGAGTTTGGATATTACTTCTTTTTTTTCTTTTCTTGTTTTTTTTTTTTTTTTTTTTTTTTTTTTTTGATATGTAATCTTGCTCTGTTGCCAGACGAGTGCAGTGGCGCGATCTCGGCTCACTGCAACCCCCAACTCGCTGATTCAAGCGATTCTCCTGCCTCAGCCTCCCGAGTAGCTGGGATTAAAGGCACGTGCCACCACGTTTTTTTTGTATTTTTAGTACAGACGGGGTTTCACCATGTTGGCCAGGATGGTTTGGAACTCCTGACCTCATGATCCGCCCGCCTTGGCCTCCCAAAGTGCTGGGATTACAGGCGTGAGCCACTCACACCCAGCCTGGATATTATTTCTTTAAATATTTTACATTTTAACAGTCTTAAATTTTGCAAAATATATGGTTAGTCTTTGGACTTAAAAAAATATATGATGTAATCTTTAAGACACTACTGAATTGTGTGTCTATACCAGTATTATTCTGGGGTACCATTAAATCCATTATTAACATCAATAAGGCAAAATGAATAACATCAGAGGTTTTTTTAAGGAAGTAAATCAAGCACTTTACTTGCTTAAACAGAATAATTCCAATAGAAAGGAATTAATTATCTCAGACTCTAAAGATAATTTGAAAATTGTTGCATTTCAAAACAGTAAGAATAAGCTTGGTCCTATCTGCCTAGAGCCTAAAGAAATTTCCTTATAAAGGTCTAGGGGAAATTAAATCCTAATCTCACAAAAAAGGCAAGTTCCATCTACATTTTAAATGCGCTCACCGTATTTGCTTCTGGTCAGTGGTTGAGTTATTTAGTCTATTAAAATGAGCATTGTAGGAGGAAATGGAGGATGGAAAGACCCCTTTCCTTCTTACCTTTAAATTACCATGCTATTGAACTTTTTAAAGTACCTTAGAGTCCACAATTAGGAAGTTTTACATTAAATGGACCAATTGCATTTTAATTACCAATTACCTTTAAATTGGTGAGAAGGAAAGGCAAGATTTGGGAGAATTACATGTGAAGATTCAAAGTTTTCCTGACTTTTGGAAGCAGTATACAAAATTACATAATTATTGGTGATAAAATGAATCCAATTTACAAAGTATAGCTTATTCATTAGGAAGCCAAACTGGTCTAATTGTATTAATATCCAAAAATGAGTTCTGTGGGGTGTTTTTTCGTTTTGTTTTGTTTGTTTGTTTGTTTGTTTACTTGAGACTGAGTTTCGCTCTTGTTGCCCAGGCTGGAGTGCAGTGGCACAATCATGGCTCACTGCAACCTCTACCTCCCAGGTTCAAGCAATTCTCCTGCCTCAGCCTCCCGAGTAGCTGGGATTACAGGTGCCTGCCACCACACCCAGCTAATTTTTTGTATTTTTAGTAGAGACGGGTTTTTACCATGTTGGCCAGGCTAGCCAGGCTGGTCGAACTCCTGAACTCAGGTGATCCACCTGCTCAGCCTCCCAAAGTGCTGGGATTACTGCGTAAGCCACCGCACCCGGCCTGAAGAAGAGTTTTGACTAAACCTGTTGGAGGCACTTTTTAGTTCAAAAATATGTGAATCTAATTTTTATAAACCAGGTTTTGCAGCACCAGCATGATTAACATTTGGGGCTAAACAATTCTTTGTCATGGTGGACTGTGCTTGCATTGTATGATGTTTAGCAGCATCACTGGTACTAGATGCCAGGACCATGCACACACGCACACACACACACACTCCACTTGCAACAACCAAAAATGTCTTGGCTTTGCCAAATGTCTTCTGGGGCAGGGGCAGGGGTTGGGGGACACAAGATCACCCCTGGTTCAGAACTACTGCTATAAATGAATAAATGCTTTCTTCAACAATATATGCCTCTATTAATACAAACAATATGGTCATGTCACTAATGTTCCTTATCTCTTTAATTCTAGAATAATTGTATAACCCTTCTTAGTTTCAGTTTACACATCCATCTTCCTGGGTCAAACTGACAATATCCTGAAACCCAGTATCATACACGCAATCCTAGCTGTTTCTTCCCTGCAATACTGCTTTCTACCCACTAAGTGGCATGCCTTTCACTTTGGGAAATCTATAATAATAACTTTTTATTTTATTTTTTTATTAATACATCATACTTGCACATATTTATGAGGTACATGTGATATTTTGATATGTGCACACAACGTGTTATAATCAAATCAAGGCATTTAGCCTATCCACCACCTCAAACATTTATCATTTCTTTGTGTTGGGAACATTTCAAATCATCTTTTTTGTTTTTCTCTCTTGAATCTTAAAGGTCTATCAATCAAATCATCTCATCTAGCCATTTTGAAATAAACAATATACTATCGTTAACTATAGTCACCCTACCACGCTATTGAACTTTTTAAGGTACCTTAGAGTCCCCGATTTGCAAGTTTCATATTAAAGGGACCAATTGCACTCCTAAACCTTAGTATCTTGGTCTGGCATTTTCATTCTAAAGTTGTTTTGATAAGCACTTGATAGCCACACTGTATCAAATGATAATGTATTAATATGTGACATTTAAGACAAAGTATATGTAATTTGAATTCAACCTTTTTTAATATTCAGGATTATCAAGGAGAATTAGCTAGAGAGCACCAATTGCCCTCAAAATACCCACTGAATTCAATCAGTACAATTAGATGCCAGTGCATGAGATTTAAGTGCAACCAATTCAAGTATACACTCAACTCTTTAGACTCAGCATGTATCTAATAATAGTGCCTTTGATATTGTGTCTTGGAAAACCTGACATGGCTCACTTATTTATTGCACTGGAAACTAAAATCCTTTTCTATAATCGTCATTCATACCACTAATATAAACTAGTAAACTAAAAATGTTCTCCATGTATAACAAGTACAAACTTACCAGATTAAAAACCTGATGTTATTATGGGAATACCTCTAACTTTCTTCAGCGTAAGGACTGCTAAAACTGTAGTCACCCACCAATGCCATAGCTGTCAGTTGTCTGTGGTCATCAGCACTTAAGTTCACCATATTGCTCTTCAACATCTCTGTTAAAGAGTAACAGGTACCATTAAATCACAGAGTAAATGAATTTTGGAAGTTGAATGGACCCTTTAAAAAAAATAGTAACATGGAGTCCAAGTAATAGAAAACCGTTCTGTGCAGCTTAAGCAAAATGAGCAATTTGCTGAAAGTCTACTAGGGAATCTCATGAAAGCCAGGAAAAGTTGAGCAGTCAAGACCCAAGGAAAGCAAGTAGAGCATTTCTGGGGCCAGCAGCAACAGGTGGGTGTGCACTTCTCTCAGTCACTGATGATACTCAGTGCCAACATCTCTTAGCCTCTGGGTCCCCCTATTGAATATTGCCAGGAGAAAGACCCTGTCCTGGCCTGGGACAGCTGTACACTCCTGGTTAATCAGTTCTGATGGGAGGCCGGGTCACGTGGTTCAGATCTGATGCATCCCTACATATCAGAGGCAATTTCCTGAAAAAGGAAGGAGCGGCTGGGTGCAGTGGTTCACACCTGTACTCCCAGGACTTTGAGAGGCCAAGGCAGGAGGATCGCTTGAGCCCAGGAGTTTGAGACCACCCTGAGCAACATAGTGAGACACTGTCTCAAAAAAAATAAAGAGAAAGGAGGGAGCTAGGCAGACATCCCAAGAGATGTCTAGTATAATCATTTTCTTTAACCTGTTTATTTTATTTTATTTATTTTTTAATTTATTTATTTTTCTTTTTTTGAGGGTGAGTCTTGCTCTGTTGCCCAGGCTGAAGTGCAGTGGCGCGATCTCAGCTCACTGTAACCTCTGCCTCCCAGGTTCAAGCGATTCCATCCTCCTGAGCAGCTGGGATTACAGGCACCTGCCATCACGCCCGGCTAATTTTTGTATTTTTAGTAGAGATGGGGTTTCACCATGTTGTCCAGGCTGGTCTCCAACTCCTGACCTCAAGTGATCTGCCTGCCTCAGCCTCCCAAAGCACTAGGATTACAGGCGTGAGCCACAGCGCTCGGCCAACCCATTTATTTTAAAGTAGGAAACTAAGTGCTAGAGAGGTCACCATGGGCAGTGACAGACCAAAATTTGTTACTATTCTGTTACAATCAGTCTTCCCTATGTACTCCTACTAGGTTTTCTCCTGTCTAACAGAACCCAAATACTTCTTTTGAAGTTTTCCTTTACAGAGAGATTCAGCATCCCTACAGCAATGAAAAGGCCACCCACCAGATAAGGGCCAGGAAGACCAATTAGTAATCATTAGTAACCCCATCCCATTCTTTGACATTATCTCAGCAGATCCCATTGCTTTGTTGTCATTTAAGATTTCTTTTTCTTTTTCTTTTTCTTTTTTTTAAGACAGAGTATCGCTCTATTGCCCTGGCTGGAGTACAGTGGTAGGATCTTGGCTCACTGCAACCTCCACCTCCCAGGTTCAAGTGATTCTCTTGCCTCAGCCTCCCAAATAGCTGGTATTATAGGTGCCTGCTGCCATTCCCAGCTAACTTAAGATATTTTTTAAATAAAATAAAAAGTCCAGTCCAGTTAAAACATCCATCTTACATGCAATATAGAACTTCTTTCCTCCCATTTGCTCAGGACTGCCTGTCTCAGAGACTTTGATGGGGCAATGGGCATGGTGGAGTCCTCCAGCCTTTCTTCATCTTCTGCTCCTTTCATCTGCTATGTCTTCTAGGGTTAGGGCAGTGAGGAGGGAAATTAGAGAAAAGGAACAGAAGACTTTCTAGTTGGCAAATGTTGGTCATAGTTTTTGTTTTTTGGTTTCTTTGTCTTGGTTTGCTTTTGGCTATTGATATTCTTCTCTATGGCAGGCTGTCAATGCAGACTCATTCATGGGGTTTATTTGTGGGTTCCCCAATGATGCCATGGAGCTCACACAGCAAGATCTCCTAACCTCTACAGTTAAGGCAGACACCACTGGTTGAATAACCCAGCACACATATTCAACTCTGTGTATCCGGTTAAAACATTAGATATAGTTTGTTCAGCCTCTCAGCAAGGTGTGAACTTGTGTTAGGATACTGGCAAATAAAACTTCAGGGGACCTAGGTTGACATGCTTCTGAAAACAAAGTAAGGAAAAACAAAGTTGAAGGACTGACACTGTCCAGCCTCAAGATTTACTATAAAGCTACGGTGATAATCAAGACGTACGATATTGGTGAAAAAATAGAAAAATAGATCAATGAAAATATGTGGCTTCTCTGATAAAAGGGACTATGCCCTTGACATTGGCCCTTCTCCTTGTCTTTCTGCCTAGAGCTAGGGCAGCCATGTTGTGACCATGAGAGAAAATAGCAGATCATTGAAGTTATCAACTGTCCTTCTCAGACTTCCTGTTACGTGAAAAAATAATTTCTTATCTGCTTAAATAGAGTCTGAATTGGCTTGGGGGAAGTTAGCACCTCTTTCTTCACAGGGAGAGGAGTAGGAAGGCAAAGCCTCTAGCCCTCTGAATTCCCTTCCATGAATTTCCCTTCAAATTCTTGACCTCTTGGATTGTTGAAAGTGAAGTTCACTAGGCCAGCTGTTATATTTTATTAAGTCCTGCATAGACAGGGCTTAATTGTCTTTTCAGAATGTAGAAGTAGCATCTTTTGTCTTAGGGGATCTAATGGAATTTCACGATAAATTAGCATCTTGTTATACTAGATGACAGGCAAAGGAAGGAGATTAGAAAATGGGGTGGATGACGCCAGGTGTGGTAGTTGATACTTACAATCCCAGCACTTTGGGAGGCCAAGGTGGGAGGATTTCTTGAGGCTAGAAGTTTGAGACCAGCCTGGGCAACATAGTGAGACCCCATCTCTACAAAATGTTTAAAAAATAGCCAGGAGTGGTGAGGTGCACCTGGTCCCAGCTACTCGGGAGGCTTAGGTGGAAGGATCACTTGAGCCCAGGAGTTTGAGGCTACAGTAAGATATGATCGTACCACAGCACACCAGCCTGGGCAGCAGAGCAAGACCCTGTCACAAAAAAGAATAAGATGGATGGGTGAGGTTTGAAAGAAAATGCACATGGCTGTGGCTGGGAACCCACAAAGTGTCGGTTATCTGTATAGATGGGTTGATCAAACCGAAACACTAGCAGTGAGAACACATGTACTTGATATATGGGCAAATAAAAAGAATCGTACCTAGGGATTTATAAATGTGTCCAAATACCAGAGCATGCATGGTCAGGAGGGTCCGTAGACACAGAGAGGGAAAATGCAGTTGCAGGTGGATTAACAATCACCAAGCGAAATTATTCCAACGTAAGCTGTTTCCATGCGACAATTGACAATAAATACAGACTTCCTTGGTTGAGTCCAAACTTGTCTAGCTTTCATACAGAATGGGTCTACATCACATATATTTTCAGGACTATTGTTAAAGATAATGGTCAATTAGTGGAATCGTATATGTATGGATAGAATGTATAGTCCAAGGAATGTTTCAATCACTGTATGTGCCTTAAATAACTATAAATAATGTAAGATATAAAATCTGTAAAATGTAAAAATCTACTAGTATTCTATTTTTTATCCATGAAGCTGGATATTCTTATGGTTTTGCATACAAAAATTGGTAATGCTTCCTCAATCCAAAAAAAGCTAAGGAGAATATTTTTACTATTAATAACAGCAGAACTTTTCATAGGCATTATGATTATCTAAGAAGGGGATAATATCCCCCAGTAATTTAACCTTGGAAAGAATTTTTTCCTTGCAAGTAGTTCATAAAACTGGAAATCCATCTTGGAGAACCCCATGTAAAATCTTTCCGATCTCTGCTGTTTCAACTGGACTATCAGGTTATTTACAGTGTTTATTCACTTGGTAAATATGTATCCCATCTTTCAGACAGGAACCATCCGATTATGATAGCAAAGGCATTCTTCCACTTCTTTTCTTTTTTCTTTTTATTTTACCTTAAGTTCTGGAATACATGTGCAGAACATGCAGGTTTGTTACATAGGCATACATGTGCCATGGTGGTTTGCTGCACCTATCAACCCACCATCCAGGTTTTAAGCCCCGCTTGCATTAGGTATTTGTCCTAATGCTCTCTCCCTCCCCTAGCCCCCCACCCCCGACAGGCCCTGGTGTGTGATGTTCCCCTCCCTGTGTCTATGTGTTCTCATTGTTCAACTCCCACTTATGAGTGAGAACATGCGGTGTTTGGTTTTCTGTTCCTGTGTTAGTTTGCTGAGAATGATGGCTTCCAGTTTCATCCATGTCCCTGCAAAGGACATGAACTCATTCTTTTTTATGGCTGCATCTTCCACCTCTTTAGCTACTTTTCTGTTAGGCTTAACTAGCCACTAGCAGCATATCAAATTACATCCTTGACTACATCTTGAGTTCATTTGAGAAATAGTCTCATCTTGGGAGGCAGTGTAGTATGGTGGTAGCATAAAACATACAGGCCTGAAAGTCAGACACTCCACTCATTGTGTAACCTCATAGAAAATAGTTGCTAGGCCGGGCGTGGTGGCTGGCTGGGCACAGTGGCTCACGCCTGTAATCCCAGCACTTTCGGAGGCCGAGGCAGGAGGATCACAGGGTCAAGAGATCAAGACCATCCTGGCCAAAAAGATGAAACCCCATCTCTACTAAAAATACAAAAATTAGCTGGGCGTGGTGGCACGTGCCTATAATACCAGCTATTTGGGAGGCTGAGGCAGGAGAATCGCTTGAACCCGGGAGGCAGAGGTTGCAGTAAGCTGAGATCACACCACTGCAGTCTAGCCTGGCAACAGAACGAGACTCCATCTCAAAAAAAAAAAAAAAAAAAAGTTGCTAAATCTCTATAAGCCTGTGTCTTCGTCTTTAACATAAGAATAACAGTACTTACTTCACAGTGTTGTTTTCAAAATTAAGAGATCAGGTATATAAATTGCTTTCACAAGTGCCTGCCACAAGGCAAATGCTTGATAAACCTTAACTGTTACTCTTGTTCTAGACTATCCAGATCTCCAGATCTCTTAGTAGGAATTTGGAAGTTCCTTTCCTACTGCTTTCTTAACTGCTAATATTGTATAGATTATATTGATTTTAGAGGCTCAGTGATTAAGACTGCAGGTGATGAGGCTAGACATCCTCAGTCAAAGCCCGGCCCTGCCAGCTGCTAGTTGAAGTATTTTAGACAAGTTTCTTTGTAACTGTTTTCTCATTCCCAGGATGACAAAAATAAAAATCTGGACTTCATGAGTTTTTTTGTAAATATTAAATATATCGACACATGTAAAAAACAGTGCCCAGCACGCAGAAATCCCTCGATACAGGTTGGTTATTATTATTCAAAATTTATTTTCCAAATATTGTAATGACTTTTTGAATAATTTTCTCTTGTCATGAATAGAATTTAATTTGGACCTAATTTCATAAAAATTACCAACTGCATAAAAGCAGTCAAATTTGTGTTCTAGTGTATTGACCTGTTTTACCTAATTGAAATGATGAACAGAATTATCAGTGTGCAATAAAAAAGGATGCTTAGGTTACAGACTTCAGGAAGTTAAGAAAAATTGTAACATTCCACGGAAAAAGTTTGGGAATTTTTTCTTTTTTTCTCCCTTTTGGTTTGTGTTTTGTTTTTTAGTTTTATATCCTTTTTTCAGTGTTATACATGTGTAATAACATATGCCCAAGTAGAAATAACAGTAATGCTTCCTTTAATACACAAAGATGATGATATTGCTTTGACTAAAGCCATGTTCTTGAGTTTTTCTAGTTCTGTTTTCACATGCTCCCAGCTACAAGTCCTCTATATTGAAATATACTAGTTCATTTTGGAAAAGTCTTCAATAGGGCCTCTCTGGTCCTCTAAATTCACCTAAGCTTGAGATGCCAAAATAAAAAAGTGTTAGCCAGGACATAGTCTAAATAAAGGCTGGGAATGTTCCCTACTAGACTGAGGTTAGGACAACTGGGCTGACAGCTGCTGCAAATCCATAATCAGAAGAGAGGCTGAAGATAAATTTAGATAAAAGGAGATTGAGACTGGCTAATTAGACTGGGTGGTTGGCAAGTTTGGTCAGTCAGATCATAGTTCAGACTAAGAAATCCAACCTAAGGATAGATGAGGTGTAGTCAGCTGGCATCAATGTTACCAGAGCAAAAAGGTTAGGTGAGAAAAATTCAATGAAGTAAGAAGACACGTCAGGGACAGTGTGGATGACCAGCCATATAAAACTACTGATGCCAGCACTGGCAGAGGCCAAACAAGGATTTCTCCCAGGCAGGTGAAGAGTTGCACCAAAAAAGATTTGCCATCCAAAAGACACCTTCTCACAAAAAGCCCTAATCAGAGAAGAAAAAATTGATAAATAAGATTACATTAACATTGAAAACTTCCAGTTACCAAAAGACACTTTAAGAGAGTAAAAAGGGGCCTGGCGCGGTGGCTCCCTCCTGTAATCCCAGCACTTTGGGAGGCCGAGGCAGGCGGATCCCTTGAGCCCAGGAGTTTGAGACCAGCCTAAGCAACATGGCAAATCCTGGTCTCTACAAAAAATAAAAAAAATTAGCCAGGCACGGTGGTGCTTGCCTGTAATCCCAGCTACTGGGAAAGCTGAGGTGGGAGGATCGCTTGAGCCCAGGCTGTCAAAGTTGCAGTGAGCCGAGATCACGCCACTGTACTCCAGCCTGGGTGACAGAGTGAGACCGTATCTCAAAAAAAAAAAAAAAAAAGTAAAAAGGCAAGAAAAGAAGATACTTGTTATATGCACATACACATACCCAAACACACACATATATGTATTTCCAACAATAGACTCTTACCAGAAACTTTAAAGAACTTGCATAAGTCAATAAATGAAAGACAACTAATTTTTTAAGAAAGCTCAATACAAAAATAGTCAAAAGCCTTTACAGGTAATTCAGGAAAGAGGATATCTAATAATCAGTAAACTTCTGAAGAGGTGCTTGATTTCAATAGTCATCACGGAAATACTAATGAAAATGTTAAATAAACTACAGTAAGATATGCTTATCAAAATGGCTAAAATGAAAAAAAAAAAAGAGGTAATAACCAAGTGCTGGTGAGGATGCTAGGCAACTTGAACTCTCTCACACTGTTGGTGAGAATATAAATTGGTACAACCACTTTGGAAAACTAGTGATATATGCTAATAGTGAACATATACATGTCCTCGGACCCAGCAATTCCACTTCTAAAGGGGGCATATGTTCACCAAAAACATCTACACAAGTGTTCATAGCAGCAATGCTTATAACAGCCCCAACCCAAATGTTCATTAAAAGTAGTACAAATGAGTAAATCTTGGTATAGACTTGCAATATATATACAATATTGTATACAGCAATTAGAATGAATAAAATAATGCTACCTGCATCAAAATCAATAAATCGGACAAACATAGTATTAAAAGAAGCCAGAGACTTAAAAAAATACATTTTGCATGATTCCATTTATATAGAGTTCGAAAACAGGCAAAACCAATTTATGAAATTAGAAGTCCATATCATGTTTTTTGTTGGATGCAGGAAGGGAGTTCTGGAGTTTGGGTTCTGTTTTATGGGCTTGGGGTGTTCACTTTGTGAAAATTCATAGAGCTGCATTTTTATGGTTTGTGTACTTTTCTGTATGTATTTCATACTTCAAAAAATTTCAATAGGCCTGGCTGGTGGCTCATGCCTGTAATCCCAGCACTCTGGGAGGCGGAGGCAGGCAGATCACATGAGGCCAGGAGTTCGGGACCAGCCTGGGCAATATAGCAAAACCCTGTATCTACTAAAAATACAAAAAATTAGCTGGATGTGGTGGCACACACCTGTAATCCCAGCTACTCGGGAGGCTGAGGTGGGAGAATCATCTGAGCCCAGGAGGTTGAGGCTGCAGTGAGCACAGGTCGTGCCACAGCACTCCAGCCTGGGCGACAGAGTGAGACAGTCTTAAAAAAAAAAAAAAAAAAAGATTCAATAAAGTGGGTAAAATGACATCTTCTAACAAACATGCAAGGCAACTTGGGACCTAGTAAGCAGTCTGGCTCTGATTAGGTTTTCTGTCTCTCCAGAGAGACCTGGGAGTAGCATGGTGAACTAAGGGATAAGAGCCTATCCTATCTTATCCTATCCTTACTCACTTAAGTGTTTGTCAGAGGCATTGCTGTGTCATCAGCTCAGTCAGAGGTTCCTTCTGGAACCCTGAGTCATAACAGCTAAATTGTATACAATTTCCTTAATCCCATGCTTCCCTGAAGTTTGTTTCTCAAAGAATTACTTCCAGAGCAGATGAAGTTAATAACTCCAGGTTAATCATCAAAGATCATCTTTGGGCGCTAGTAATCTAAGGCCTTAAAAATGATTGGCTTTGCATGTCATTTACTTCTTTTTTTTTTAATTTCTATTTTTTTTTTTTTTTTACATTCAGGGGCAGAGATGCTTAAAAAGCAGATAGGGTGGCAGACTCCAAGTCTACTATGGGGCTCAATTATATGCTTCTGCATAGTACAAGGGCCCTCCTCTCCTTCCCGAAAGGGAAGTAATTTCACCTAAGTAGGGGTAAGATTCTTGTCTTGTGTTATTGCTTGAACAAACATATAATTTGGGCTCCAGACACATGCAAATTTTATGAGGCTCTTGGAGGTGCCTGGCCAGGAACTAATAATACATGTCATCCCCCCAGGACTCAGAGCTCAGTGGCGAAGGTACCTGAAATCAGCCTTGAAATTCATTAAGCAGCTGTTCTCTACTGGCTGCTAGATCCTGAGAGTCAGTGAGGATAGAGATGAGAATTCATCAATTCCCCTAAAGACCGCCATTCAGGAGAAGTGGAATGGTGAGTGCTTCAATAGTTATTTGAAAAAATGACCACAACCATCACTGCCTACGTTGGACTCTTGGAAGATATTTATGATGAAATTCCCAAAGGCTGGTCATGCATCTAATCAATTTTATGTCCAGATACAGAACATCTCCAGGCTTTCAGGAAGCTTCACTTTAATAGTACACAAACAAATGAACAAAGATTGTATGGCATGATAAATGCTATAACAGCAGGAAACACAAGGTATTGTGACAGCTCTTGGAGGTTGAGCTGCTAACTCAAACTAGAGAGGTTAAGAAAGTCTGGGAACCAGCTAGCTGTCAAATGCTCTAGAATCATAACCTCATTTTATATACCATAGTGTTTTGTCTGCCTCCCTGAATTTAAAACAAGGAATTTCTTTCAGAAGGGTTCTAGCCAATCACATGGCAGCAAATTAGGCCACTAAATAGCGGACATTCTCCCAGATCTTGAGTCACAGTGTGCCCAGCTTGAAAGTTGACTAGGACTCTGGTCTCCAAGTTTGGGATCCAAGGAGAACCCCTGAAGCTTTGCTGAAAATCACTGACATGAGGCAGAAAGCAAGTTAGAGTAATATTTTTAGGGTTTATGGCTAGCTTTGGGGAAAAGGGGTTCTGATTACTACTAATTTAACCCATCTTGGGGAAGAAGGAGTCTATTAGATTGATGCAAAAGTAATTGTGGTTTTTGCCATTACTTGTAATACCTTCTATGGCTAGCCTCAGGGGAGAATGGGACTGAAAGACAGGACAGCAGGAAAAGATCAAAGAAAAACTTTTGCTCTTAAGGCTGATTCTGAGGCCTTCATTTTGGGGTATTGTTTTCTGAGCCCCAACATCCACAATAGCTGCCTCCTAGAAGCCCAAATCCAAGTCCATGAACTGACGCAAAAATTTCTGTATTAAGTAGGTGGAAGAACAGGTGTCGTGCAGGCAAGGTGGCCACCATATGATGGACTATTCCATAGAACAGTCTCCTTCTCTTGTTTCTGTTTATATATCTAACCACAAAACCATGGGCTCAAGCACCCCAAACATCCCCTCCTCCAGCATCATATTGGGAATCTCTGAGGCCCACCGCTATATTCATTGGTATATTGGCCCCTGATCCATGGCATATGCATCTACCAAAGACTAGGCTCAGAAAGCAGATAAATTTTTATATTCTTCAGAATGATGAAGAAAGAGCTCAAGGACTCCCTCTGGCATCAGAGCAACTGCAGTGTTTAGTGGGTGGGGATCGGGAGCTGGGGAAAAGGTAAATGAGTGAAACTGAAAAGTTGCCCCCCACTTCTGCGATACCTCAAACATATGGCATCTTTCCACAGCCACCTTCCGGCAAAGTCCAAAGACCAGCACTACTCTGACTAGACACCTAGTACAAAGTTGGGGGAAAGAATGCCATAGTGGGAAGCTACTGACACACAAGTCCAGAGAGCTGTGTCGTTATAAATAATGAAGGACAGTCACAGAGATGATACAACATGTCTTTATAAGAAGCCCAAATAAACCAAACCAGGGGATCTGATAACCGTCTGGTCTTTTCTGTTTGTTGACTTTCTCTGGCTTTAATCCCAGAGGTGACAGTGGACTTTGATTCTTATGTTGCATTTGCATGTGGGAATTCCCATTGTGCTACCCTAGAAACTGATCCTAGGCAAAACACCCAAAGCTATTTGGACTTGGTTTTTGGCATCCTGCCTATTCTAACCTGACATATAACTCCTTTCCGTTCTTCGTTTTGTCTGTATTACACTAACAGTAGCAGCAGCTCTTAGAGACTGCACTCAACTGTATAACTGGGGTTCGGAGGATAGTTGACATAGTATTCTACATCAGGGATCAGTTAGACTCTGCCTATGGAGAATCCTGGAATCTAAACAACACAAAAGGGAAAAAACTGTCAGAATAGATTCAGTAATACAATTTCTAGCATAATAATAATGTTTATTAGTAGGTCTTACCTAACCTTATACAATACAAAGATTTCCTATTCATCAGGGATTTTTTTAAATGTTAGCCAGATTTTTTTAATTCCTCTAGGTTAAAAATATCTATATCACTACAGTTTTCACAAACAAATCATCTTATTCACAGAGTGATTTCTATGATAATTAATTTGAAAGTGGTCAAGGTAAATAGTTTGGTAAATCATCTACACTGCAGCCCACATCCACCCTAACCCTTAGTCGTTAGTCCATTATGATAATTTGACAAAAGAATGTGGATGGAGCACAAAAATCCAACAGGGCAGCATTACATCAGCAAAAGAAAGCCATCCACAGCAAAATTAACACCAAGGTTAAGGTGTTTAAATATTCATTATTGTTTAGATGGCTAGTAGTAAAAGAAAGTCTGAAATTGATCTGTAATAATTAACCATCTAAGAAAATTGAGTTAAAACTATTAGTGGAAACTTTCCAGACAAAAAGCTATCCTAAGGCAATTGTGAGTTGAATAAGGATATTTTGGTGTTAAGAAATCATTTATTTAAATTTATCTGAAATCTTCCACCTCCGACCCTCTGCCCTTCCACTCCTCATCCCAAACCAGCATCTGAGGCTATGAGAATTCATAAGGATGTTCTTTAGCTTTAAAAGGGAGAGGGGGCAGGAATGAAAACAGATGAAAAGTGCCCTCCTTTTCTTCTGTTGACAGAAACTAATCATTGCTGCATATTTGTTGCAGTCTGTTTAAGCTATTTCAGGGGTGGTGGAAAGGAAGATGTGGCAAAATGAGCATCTGACTGAGAAGGCCTCAGTAATTCATTAATTTCAGGGTAGTAAATCTTTTCAGCTGTGTAAATGGACTGTGAATTACAAGAGTCTCTCAGATCAGAAGCAGGAACTCAGTGAGAGATCCAGAGGGAATGAGTCCTCTGGATAAGAGAAAGGCGCATTCCACTGCCAGCTGTGACAGAGACAGGTGTGTGGCAGACAATCTCCAGGGAAGATGTCTCCAACTGCTTGGGCTTCATCATCCAAAGGAATAGCCTGCTTAGAAACTAATAAGCAAAAGTACTGAGTGTCAACCACCCAGGACATCAAGAACCTCATGGGAAAGAGGGTCAGTTCTCCAATTTCACAATGCGTGAAGACTTTTTAAAGGCTATTAGTGTAAAATTTTTAAAGTTTTGTGTACAATCCTACTCATATGCATGAGAACTGACTTGCTGACCTCGTAAGGTCCCCTCCAGCCTTATGTGAGGTAGCATGCTGAGAGGACAGGGAACACTAGCTCTGGAATCAGAAGTCTAATTGGTAACTGGAGGATTTCTCTTGGTGGAGCCACTTAATATCTCAAAATCTCAGTTTCAAGACTTCAAAATGGGGTTGAAAATACCAGTTTTATTTATCTCATAGTCTATTATGAAAATTACACTATATACTTATATATTTTGATAAAATATAAAGCTTTGTATGAACATACATTGTCTTTAAAAACTATCTGTGATGCTGGGTGCAGTGGCTCACACCTGTAATCCCAGCACTTCAGGAGGCCAAGGCGGGAGGATTCCTTGAGCCCAGAAGTTTGAGACCAGCCTGGGCAACACAGCAAGACCCTGTCTCTACAAAAAATAAAAATAAATTAGGTGCACCAGGTGGCACACACTTATAGCCCCAGCTATTAGGAAGGCTGAGGCAGGAGGATTGCTTGAGCCCAGGAATTTGAGGCTGCAGTGAGCCATGATTGTGCCACTGCACTCCAGCCTGGGTGGCAGAGTGAGACCTTGTCTCAAAAAAAAAACAAAACAAAAAACTAAAAATAATGATCAAAACCATCTGTGGGAGATTATGGAAAATGACTAGCAGAGTCAGCCAACATGAGGCAGAAAGAACTGTACCTAGAATATCTTTCCTTATCAAAGTATAAATTCTGAAGGGCAAGAACCAAGTCTTAGACAACTTTGTGCACCCCATAGCACCGAGCGTAGTCCTTGACAGGTAGTAGATGCCAATAAATATTTGTTGAATTGTACCACCTGACTTCAGCTTCCAAATTTACAAATTGATTAGCCAAGAGGTGAAAGTAAGTAAACTGGGAAGAGGAAGAAGTGGGGCCTTACTTTTTCACAGGGAGAAACAGCCTTGCCATTGTGGTCTTTATTGTGCCTTCACTGTGCCGCCTTTTCTGTTCTGAACATAGACCGCTCCTGAGCACTCTAAATTGTCAAGAGCTCTGTAGGCTTCCCAGAGGAGCAGCTTTGTGTGGCTAAACACAGGACATACATTCTTTTTGCACTTTTTTGTGGGTAGGTTTACTGACAAAGTCATTGTCCCTCTCTTCCTGGCCTTAGCCCTCTGCAGATCTAGTTATGCTGTTTAGGTTCATGAAGTACAAATTAGCATAATCCGATTAGATTAGCTGCTGAGGGGCGTCTTTGGTCTGAAAAGCAGAGAAAAGAAAAAAGTGTCTCACAAAGAGGGGAGCCTGGAGGATGGAAGGGGAGGGAGGGCAATTGCTCCTGTGCTGCTGGCCTGAAAGCCTGCACCTGCACAAGCCCTCTTGTAAATAAGGACTCTTAGATGGTATTAAACAGGGGACTGAGGAGTCCAGGGGAGCTCAGGGAGGTAAGCATGGGGAAGAGAAAGGCAAGACAGCAGCTCTGCATCCCATTAATTGATTTATCTGGATTGGCAAAGCAGGGGTTGCTGACAGAAAAGAATGTCCGTTTGATTCCTACTCAGCATGGAGAGTGGGTCAGCCCCATAATCTGGTCTATCGAGATAACGTTTTAGAATCTCTGCAAGAGACTGATAAGGGGTTTCCTTGCAGGGAATAATGTCCATTGGATGTTTGATTTCAGTACTTTCTGAATTGGACTTCCGTATCTTTCCTTTATTTCTGGAAAAGAAAAAGCCAGGCGACGGTAGTTGTCTTAGGCCTTTGGGTAAGGCGTACTCAAAACCACCAAAGAAAAACCCAACAATCCGCTTGTTAGAATAGGTAACACAGGAACATTTTTGACTGGGTACTATAGACAGTTTATGGGTTTGATTGAAGTTTTCATGATAAGAAAGGGACTGTATTTGAGAAGTAAATGTTGCATTTCAAGCAAGTAATTTCTTTTACCATTCTTAGTTGAAAAAAGACTTTTTCCCCCAACCACCCCCTGCCCCCTCAAAAAATATGAAGGAGCCCTGAGACACAGAAGTCTCTGCACTTTCTGAGGACTGAGAATGTTTCCATGATTCTCAGGGAATATAAAATATGTTTAACTCTATGGGACTGAAAGGAAGCCATAGGTTAGGCCTGATCTATGACATGATTTACCTCTAAGGTCAGGTGCAGAAGAAAAGGAAACACCTCCAGCTAGAGAAGGCTTGTTTCTGTTGAGATATCTTCCTAAGTGTCATTCAACGTAATTTAAATGCTGAGAGCAACAGACATCCCCATCACTTATTTTGGATAATTTTTTCTTTACCAAAGAATTCTTCTGGACAGAAAACTCAGACCATCAACCAAATTAATCCATGCATGTTTTTTTCTTTATTTCAATCATTGCCTGCCTGCAGTGAGCATTTCTTTCACAGGAAGTTTCTTTCTTAAAGGTAAAAGAACATATTAAAAGAAATTTGGCCTTTGCTGAAGGCAGACATGGGCTCAGAGCCTGCCTTGCTGTTGGCTGTGTGATCTGAAGTTTGCCTCTTAAAACTATTTTAAGCCCCAATTTCCCAAACTGTAAGCTGGAGCAAATACCTCCATTAAATTGTTGTTAGAAGGATTAAAGATAGCTTTTATAAACTACCTGTAATAGGCATGCAATGAATATGAAACACTTCCTTGAAGTGTTTATATTTTGACTCTTTCCCCAAATAAAACTTGCCATACTCAGATACATCCTTCTCATACTCATCCATCCTTCTCAACTTCCGTGATGGGGCATCTTTACCCCTGGAGCCTAGAGCCATAAAGCCTCTTAGAGAGGGATGAAGGAGACACTGCAAGGTTGTTTTCAGAAACTCTGAAGCCTGGGGAAGAAATTTAGTCTGGGAAGGCAGGTAGGAAAATACTTTCTTTTTTCTTGTTGTTTTTATTTTTATTTTTTTAGATGGAGTTTCGCTCTTGTTGCCCAGGCTGGAATGCAATGGCACAATCTCGGCTCACCGCAACCTCTGCCTCCCAGGTTCAAGCGATTCTCCTGCCTCAGCCTCCCAAGCAGCTGGGACTACAGGCGTGCGCCATCATGCCCAGCTAATTTTTGTATTTTTCGTAGAGATGGGGTTTCACTGTGTTGGCCAGGATGGTTTCCTATCTGCTAGAAGCCAAGGTAAGCATTCAGAACACCTTAAGTGAGAGATGGGGATCTGGAGGCCTCATATCCAGAGGGAACGGTAAGAAGCAGGTAAGGGGAAGGCCTAGGAAGCTCATTGACTCTGACAGCCCATATCTCTCTCAGGCTGCAGGTGGACACATGGTGTTTCATGCATCCTCTTACAGAGACAGAGTGGTGGAATGGCAATGGCATAAAAGCAAGTGGACAAGGTATCCTTAGTCAGACATGGTCCTCTGCTTATATAAATTATTTTTGTGCTTTTCCATATAGATTTTAGTAAAGGTTCATTGTGGGAACATTTGACTTTTTCAGAAATATTTTATTATCATGGTTAAGATATAGATGAGGAAGATAATTTGACTGCATATGAAAATAAAATTATACTATGGCCAAGTAAGATTTATCCAAAATGCAAGAAAATATTATATATCATATCCATCTCAATAGCTATCAGAAGAAGATCTTTCATTAAAATTTATTACCCATCGGATAGAATGACCTTCAGCAAAAAAGAAAAAAAAATTATTATCTGGTTCTTTTTGCAGGGAGAGGGTAGTGAAGACGCTCTGCCTGCTCTATGCCCCAGGAGGCTGACCTATACACACCTCAGCCTCCATCACTCTGGCCTCCCTGCCCTCTGGTTGGGTTCTGGTTGGTTTTGGCCAATGGAATGCGGTGGCAGAACAGCAGGTGGGAGGAGAGAAACAGGTCAAGGTATTTATCCCCCTTCCCATATCTACAACCATAGCTGCTTTCAGACAGCCCCTCCCCCTCCCATGGCCACACCTTCCCTGGGTTCCAGTTACCCTGGGGACTAGCAGTGGGTAGCAGGAGACCCGGGCCTCACCTTTACCCAGCCATCTCACTCTGGGGCCCCACTTGCCAAGCAGTTGTTGTCAACTGAAACTTTATTTTATTGTTGTTTCCTTCCTCTTTTGGATTTTCTTTTTGTTCCAGTCCAAGGGTATGTGTCCTCTTAGCTCAGCCAGCTAAGGGTCAATGTACAGGGTACTAATCTATCAAGACCTAGTGGACCCAGGGTCCTCTCTCTTCCTTGTGTCAGAGTTCTAGGGAGCATGTTTTTGAAACTCCTTTTTTTAGAGCCAAATTTAGAATGTGGTGAGGGAGCAATTTTTTTTTTCAATTGGAATTTACTTTAAATACGTAATTTTAAGTTCATAAGTAGTCTTTATTAAAAGAGAGAGAATATTCAGCATCCCCTAGCCCCCTATTTCTTTCATCAGAAGCCTCAAAGATAGGACCTCACAGCAAGATTTTAAACTGAATCCAGAAAGTCAAAAACCTCAGAGTAAAGGAAGACTTTCTAACTACGACTCAAAATCCAGGACCATCAAATTGATTAATTGTACTACATTAAAATAAAATTTGAATATCTGGCACATACCATAAACAAAGTCATAAGACAAATGAAATATTGGGGGAAAATATCTGTAGCCCACATCACAGAAAAAGAGTTGATCTCCTTCATATATAAAGAGCTTTTAGAAATTGGGGAAGAAAAAAAGACCAACCGTCCAGCAGAAACAAAGGGCAAAGGACGTTTAAGAGAGTCCACAGAAACAGAAATACAAACAACTCACAAACATGTTAAATCAAGTTTAGCGTAATGCTGCCTCCTTACATATTTTAAGTTCAGACTAAAGGTTTCTCTGTACATCGTGAACCCATAACAAGTAAACCCACCATAGTCTACACTTGTGCCAATCACCAAGTTTTGGCCATTCAAATGTAGCCAACTGTTCAAACCACGTTCAAATAAGGCAAATGCCCACCTGTAACCAATCCAGCTATTTCTGTACCTCACTTCCCTTTTATGTATGTCACTTCCCTTTTATGTATGTCACTTTCCTTTTTCTGTCCATAAATCTTTCACCACATTGGCTGTGCTGGAGCCTCAGAGCCTGCTCTGGCTCGGAAGGCTGCCTGATTTGCAAATTGTTCATTGCTCAATTAAGCTCCTTTAAATTTTATTTGGCTGAAGTTTTTCTTTCATCACATACGATGTCAGCCTCATCATAAAAAGAAAAAGGCAAACTAAAACCACATTGAGATAACATTTTCACCTATCAGATTGGCAAGTATCCCAGCAATTGTCAACATAACATGAAGGTGAATTTGTGCAGAAACAAGAACACCCATACATGCTGCTAAGACTGCATTCATTCTACAGGTGTACCTGCACCCTTGGGAAATCACATGTTACAGGTTATTCATTGCAGCAGCATTAGTATCAGCAAAAGACTGGAAACAACACAAATGGACATGATGTAATACATGCAGATATTAAAAAGAATGAGAAAGTCCTCTATGATTTGGGAAGATCTTTAGGTTATAGTGTTACCAGAGAAAAGCAGGCCAGGCATGGTGGCTCAGCACTTTGGGAGGCTGAGGTGGGTATATCACTTGAGTCCAGGAGTTAGGAGTTAGAGACCAGCCTAGCCAACATGGCGAAACCCCATCTCTACTAAAAATACAAAAATTACCTGGGTATGGTTGTGCGCACCTGTAATCCCAGCTACTTGGGAGGCTGAGGCAGGAGAATCACTTGAGCCTGGGAGGCAGAGGTTGCAGTGAGCCGAGATCGCACCACTGCACTCCAGTCTCGTCAACAGAGTGAGACTCTGTCTCAAAAAAAAAAAAAAAAAAAAAGAAAAAAAGAAAAAGCAGCAAGATGGTGTGAATAAGAGGAAGACATGAGAATATATAGTTATGCAGATACTCCTCAATTTAGGATTACATCCTAATAACCCCACTGTAAACTGAAAATATTCTAAGTTGAAAATGCATTTAATGCACTTAACCTACCAAACACCATAACTAACCTAGTCTGCCTAAAACATACTCAGGATGCTTACAATAGTGTTGGGCAAAAATCATCTAACACAAAGCCTATTATATAATAAAGTGTTGACTATTTATTGAATACTGTACTGAAAGTACATGTAATTTACTTTACTATGTAATTTACTGAATACTGTACTGAAAGTAAAAAACAGAAATGTTATATGGGTCCTCAAAGTACTGTTTCTACTGAATGCATTTCACTTTCTCACCATCTTAAAGTTGAAAAATCCCAATTCAAACCACTGTAAATTGGGAACCAACTGTATTTGCATAATGAACTACTAAATGATAATTAAACTCTGAAAAGGGATGGGAGATAGGGTTGATAGATACAAGGTAGAAATAAGACTTTTCAATATTTCTCTTTTAGTATAATTTTGATTCTTATACCATATAAGTAAATTATCTACTCAAAAATACTTTCCAAAAGAAAAAATGCTCCTGTTATTAATCCCACTCTTACCTTTTTTTTTCCTTTAAAAATAGCTTTAGAAAATGACTTTTCAATAACCATCTTTTGGGCATATTATCATTTTTCTCTATCTTAATTGTATCTTAAACTTGACTTCTAAAATATTCAAATTATAGACCTTAAAACACCATCAACTTATAAAAGATTGCAGTTGAATTGAGGCCATTTTAATTTAATATAATTATAACCCACACATGATAATATGTACAGATTTTTACATTTTTACACAGTTAGCTCATCTACTTAAACCTGACCAGGTCACACTTATTTTTTTAAACAGGAATACTTAAGGGAAAAAATTATGTTTACACCTTGAAAATCTGGTGTTTTTAAAGTTTTGCTTAAAAAGACCCCATTTCATACCTAATGTAGATGATGGATTGATAGGTGCAGCAAATCACTATGGCACGTGTATACCTATGTAACAAACCTGCACATTCTGCACATGTATCCGAGAACTTGAAGTATAATAATAATTTTAAACAGACCCCATTTTAAATATAAATGTGACTGTATTCTGAAAACAAATTTTTGCACCTGAGTATTTCACAATCTATTTGCCCAGATTAGGGATCCAAGGTAAAAACTGATTTTTAGAGGCCTCCTGTCGCAGTTTGGCAAACACATTGTTTGTTCATTTGTTTACTTGATTGTTTTGTCCTCGGTTGCCCTCTCTCTTCTTCCTTTTAAAATCTATTCATCCAGGGATAATTAGAGCATTTTTGGCTCTCCTCCCACATACTGCTTAAAAACTGAGCATGGAACCAGTTTTTGCAGGGAAGGTCACTAATCCTCAGTCTAACAGGAGCTGAGGAGGGGGTGTCTCTAGGGTAATATTCCATTTGTAATATTACCATACCAAGTGACGAGATTGGGAACATTCCCAGAACACCTAGGTTACAGCCCTTGCTCCAGGCTCCTCCTCCCGGTGGGATTTAGCTCATTATGTAGATCTTCTATGCCCTCCACCTCTTTGGCTAGAATGTTAAAGAAAACCCAAGACCCTAGGTCTTAGGCCAGCTGAGCCTCATCTCTTACCTTCTCTAGTCATTCACTAGTCCAAACTGAAAGGAGTAAGGGGAATGCCGGTAGATTTCACTGTTATGACATCCCCTACTTCCTTTTACAGACCAAACGATCTCATGTAACAGACTATCCAGTCCTTCCCAGGCATTTTTCAGTCACCACTGTCTTACTATCAACATCTCTTTCAAAATCCATACTCTGTGTATTGCCTATATGAGGTGTGAGAGGCACAATTGTACCATCTCAGGTGTACTATAGTCAGCGGAAAGAGAACAGGTGCACACACACAAACATATGTGTATATACACATATCCACATGCCATAAGGTAAAATCAAATCTTGATTTATTTAGTGAAAGGTTCAAAAAATATGCTTAAGTGATCTGGCTACTGGTGCAGACGCCAGGTATTTCAGCACAACGTTCCACTTCCTCCAAAGTGGGAAGAGGATCTCAGTGGCTATGAGACTATGTGCAAGGTACAGTCTTGTTGAATCCAAGAGGCTGTTGTATGCTGTTCTTCAGTCTTTTTAAACCAGGTACTTGTATATCAATAGTTAAAAAGAACTGATGCAAAAAGTCTTAAAAATATATGAAGACAGCAAGAATGCTATTCCATATCTAGTGAACAAAACACTTTGTCCGTTTCCTTAAACCCTCCTTCCTCCCCAACTCCAGAGGAGCTAAAAGCAAAAGGGGGACAGCAGAAGATGTGGAGGAGTGGATCTCCCACCCTGGGAGTGTGCACCTCCCCTGCAAACACACACTTGAGGCATAGGTCAAGCTTGAGCCAGGGTGGAGTTGGAGGCAGGAAGGAGATGAGATGGACTTTCAAATTGGCCCAAACTAGCCCAACCTGTCATGACTGGATGGGAAAGGAAGATTAAGCAGAGCCCCGTTAAAGGCAGTGACAGGAAAACAACAAAATCATGTCATGTTGGCACGTCACCACGTCCAGACCATGGAACTAACAAGTTGTACCTGCAGGTATCACATTCAAGCCTGCCTCAGTATGATGGTCTTTTCATGGTGTCTCATCGTGGTGTTAACTCCAGCCTGGTGCTCCCAAATAGGAAGCTTTTTTTTTTTTCCAGGGGTTGTGTTTGTTTACCCAATATCATTATTGGGTAATATACCTAGTTCACGAGGTTCCATTAAGGTGGTTAGGATCAAAAAGAATTAAAGCTATCTGTGAAAAGCAACCCTGACTTTACAGAATGCAGTGATTTTGAGTAAAAACAACTGAGGGTCAAATTCTGGCTCTGCAGTGGAAATTTGGGCAAGTTAGATAACCTTCTACACTTCAGTTTCTTTATCTGCAAAATGGGAACAGTGATATTAATATAATATAGTCATGTAATTAATATAACATAGCTCATATTATATTAATAATATAATATTGTTACAAAGATTAGATGAGCTGATACACAGGAAGCTGTTGGCATAGTGCTGGTATGTAGAAAGCACTCAGCCAACCAGGTGTGGTGGCTCATGCCTATAATCCCGACAGTTTGGGAGGCCAAGGCAGGAGGATCACTTGAGGCCAGGAGTTCAAGACCAGCCTGGGCAACATAGTGAGACCCTGTTTCCAAGAACAAATAACAAGTAAAAATAAAATAAAAAAGGAAGCACTCGGCTAATCTTGACTTTACCTCTTAATATTATAATTTTATGAATGTTGTAAATAGTTGTGAAATAGATACTTATGTACATAATTCTTTGATCATAATTCCAATTTTTGTTGTTGTTGTTGTTGTTGTTGAGATGGAGTCTCACTCTGTCACTAGGTTGGAGTGCAGTGGCCCAATCTCGGTTCACTGCAACTTCTGCCTCCCAGGTTTAAGCGATTCTCCTGTCTCAGCCTCCCGAGTGGCTGGGACTACAGGCGCACACCACCACGCCCAGCTAATTTTTGTATTTTTAGTAGAGACAGGGTTTCACCATGTTGGCCAAGATGGTCTCGATCTCTTGACCTCATGATCCGCCCACCTCGGCCTCCCAAAGTGCTGGGATTACAGGCGTGAGCCACCACACCCAGCCCAATTATGTTTTTTGATAGGTTCCTCGAAGGATAATGACTTAGGTTCAAGTGTATGAGCATATTGACTACATTCTTTTTTAAAAGTTTACTAATAAAGACAATTCAATAGTTTGCTTCATTGGACTATCAGGGAATTCTTGGCTCTGGAAATTAAATTCTTAGAATAAATGCTAGCTGGTAGATTACAAACATAAAGCTTATCTATAAATCTAGTGCTCTTCAAAATCTCTTTGTGCTAAGCCATTAGCAATAAAGAGAAAATAAAATGGAGCATTTCTCTGTTTACAGTAAACTCTAAACAGCGGAGAAGTGCAAGTGTGGTTCAGGAGACCTTGTCCCTGCTTTCTGTAATCCCTTAACTGCATTCATTCCTTGGCATTCCCTTCCTAACACCTGCCCTTTAAATCCTTCACTTTGCATTGCCATTGGACTTTTAGATTTCCTCCTTATCTTTGACCTTTTTATTTAACGATGTGACTTTTGACTAACCTTTGGCCTGTGGGTCAGCAGTTAAGCTGTTCATTCTCCCAGGCTCTTTCATCTTTTGCCTTTTTAGGGACAAAGCCAGTCGTGCATAACTTATACTTATTTTGGCCGTCTCAAGCCATTCTTAGGTGATGAAACCTCATAAGGCAGGTGCTGCCAGGGGTATCCTTGAATAGGAATAATGAGAAGCTAACTTTTCAGAAGAGTATTAGACTTTGGGTTTCTCAGAAAAATTCAGCCTGTTCAAGTTTCATTTCAATGTCATCTTTTAGAGAAAGCTAAAAGAGTACTCTTAACAGAGCCAGTCTTGACATAAGTTTTCACATTTTGAAAGTGGGGGTCATTTGCAGTGCTGCTGTAGAGATTAAATATTAGAAACTCTTCCTGAACTCAAGCAAATTTTAGCTTTTTAGGGGAAACAGAATACACACAGTTATCTATAACAGAAGGTAGGAGAAGTAAGGATCATAAAGCATATAAGGGGATTCTAAGGAAAGAGAGGTTAGATTAAGTAGTAGAAATCTAGGAGGACTTCATGTAAGAGATGGTGTTTAAGATCCCATGGGCTGGTGCAGTGGCTCATGCCTGTAGTCCCAGCACTTTGGGAGGTTGAGGCAGGAGGATTGCTTGAGCCCAAGAGGTTGAGACCAGCCTGAGCAAGATGGCAAGACCATTTCTACAAAAAAAATAAAAAATAAAAAAATTTTTAGCCGAGTGTGGTGACATGCACCTGTAGTCCCAGCTACTCAGGAGGCTGAGGCAGGAGGATCCCTTGAGCCCAGGAGTTTGAGGCTGTAGTGATGGTGCCACTGCACTCCAACCAGAAGAAAAAAGATCAGCCATGTGGAATTTGGCACAGGTGGAGGGGCGAGTAGAACAAGTGAGAATGGGAGCATTAATCCAAGCCTTTGGCATCACAGGAGTAAAGTCAGGAGTAAAAAAGAGTGGGCATGTTTGGGGATCTTTAACTAAAGTAGTTTCATTGGCATGTACCATACGTATAGGCATTGTGGAGGGTGAAGGGAAGGACACACTGGGGCCAGGATGCAGAGGGCCTGGTTTGCTAGGGTATGGCATTTGTCTCAATCTGGTAGACAAGATACTGAAGGTTTTGTAGCAGAGAAGTGATATGACTACAGCCGTGATTTGAGAAGGACCATTAGGGAGCTGTGAGAAAAGTGACATGAAGAGGAAGAAGACTGATTTCAGGTGACGCTGGGTTTTTTTCTATACTAAAGACCACGGGGGAGCTGGTGGGGGGTGGGGGGACATGTCAAAGCCAGGATAGTGGCTGTGAAGATGAGAGAAGGGGTGAATGTGCTTAGTAAATTTATGAAATTTTTCTTTAAATGAACAATTTGTTTTCTTAAATAATTTATTTGCAATAAATTAACAGTTAAATAACAAATTATAGTCAATGGTTAAAAACTCACAAAACATCAACAAATAAAATCTTTGGTTGATATATCTAATCACATTTTACAAAGTACAATAATTTAATTTCAGTAAAAAGACATATGAAGAAGATTACTGAATGCTATTGAAAAGAGACAAGCATAATGATAAGGTGCTTTTTCATTTTCAATCCTAAAATACTTGGTGGCTGAACAGGGCCGTAGAAAGGCTAAACACAGTGTCTGCAGACCTAGATCTGGGTCCTGGGTTTCCACTAACTGCGCATGTGGCCTCTGGACAGTCACTTCAAATCCCTCTAGAACCATTTTCTCCTCTGTAAAATGAGGGACCGGCATTAGACCATCAAATGATCTATATGAATCAATGGACCTGTTTATACCTGGTTTCTAGAAGTTTCTAGTGGTGTCCATAGCAGACTAAACACTTTTTTTTTTTTTTTTTGAGACAGAGTCTTGCTGTCTCCTGGAGTGCAGTGGTGCGATCTCAGCTCACTGCAAACACCACCTCTCAGGTTTAAGCGATTCTTTCTCCTCAGCCTCCTGAGTAGCTGGGATTACAGGCGCCCGCCACCACACCCAGCTAATTGTTTTAGAGATGGGGTTTCAACATGCTGGCTGGGCTGGTCTCGAACTCCTGGCCTCAGGTGATCCTCCCGCCTCAGCCTCCCAAAGTGCTGGGATTACAGGTGTGAACCACGGTGCCCACCGCCAAACACTTTTGTTTAAGTTACAGAGTAGCATAGGTTATATAATCTGTTCAAACTATTCTGTTGGGCTCAAATGATCTATAAACAGATGTACCATCCAGTGAACCGTAATGTTTTTGAATCATAAATTCTTGCTACTGCCATCACCAAGCCTTAAGTATAGGACACCAGAGAAGACTCTAGAATGATTTTTGAGTTAGCTTCCAGTCTCATGGATACCTTGTCAAGGTTTTGGTCCACAATTGACTATATTTTCTTTTTGGCAGACACCTTCTTTTTTTTCTCTTTCCTTCTTTCTTTTCTTTGAGACAGGTATCACTATGTTGCTCAGGCTGGCCTCAAACTCCTAATATCAAGCAGTCCTCCCGCCTCAGCCTCCCGAGTAGCTGGGAGTACAGGCACATGCCAACACACCTGACGTAACAGTCACTTTAACCAAACATGACTTGGTGTACAAAAATGCAAGCAGGCAAAAGAAATCATTTAGGAGGTGAAATACATAAATTAATGATTTAAAGTTTCATTTATTAATTATAGGATTATTTGCAAATTTCTTTAAATAATTTCCCCCTCACATAGTTTAATGAGAACTTGATCTCCTCATGACTTTTCAGGAGCACTCTGTTACATTTCAGCGGAAAGGCCCTCTTTGTCGAAGATCATGGCCCCCTTTGACACAGATCATGGCCCCAGCAGCAGAAAAGTGGACTCATCCTGGGTAGAGGGGCAAAATCCTATATCTAGGCAAAGAGATACTCTGTGCTTTCCTTGGCAACATGTTGAAACAAAGCTAATATAAAAATACCGTCAAAAGTGTTATTTTGATTTAATTTCAGATGAGAGAGTAAGTGATGTTAATTGACAACTGTCATCAAAACTTTGAAATGTACTATCACCTGGTAATTTGGGGGTAAGCTTGTGTCCACATAAGCTAGTGAGAAAAAAAAAAATGCACATTCAGGAAAACCATTTTGATCTCTTTTCTTATGTGTTTCCCTGGACTATGCTGGGTCCGTGGGGAAGTTTACCAAATACAGTTTAAATAAAGGGCCTAGAAGGAAATCTTACTGGTTCAAATAAATGCATTGTGTTACAAGTGTGAATGCTGTATAGAATTTAATGACATAATGACCTTTCTATTTCGGGAGAATGAGATTGTAAGAGTTTCATCCAGCTTTCTTCCAATCACCAGACCAAGGAGGCTCATTTCAACCTTTCACAAGTAAAACACCTTATTTCTGAGTGGCAGGAAATTTAAATTCCTCTGTTGTGTATATACTGGAAATCCCTAATCTCAAATCCATCAGTTTCCTACGTATGGTTTAGAAGGTTTTAAAACCAATGTACTGTCAAGAACTTTGGGGAAGGAAAATGTCCCAGAGATAATCAAATAACATTATTTGTATTCCAGGTTCAACTATAGGATTTATCTTTGACTCCAAGTATCATCAGGGTGGCATATGGTGATGGATTCTGCCAGATCCGTGCTATTTCACTGACTTGTTGGGTACCAGGCCTCCAAGCCTAAGACTAAGCTTGATCACCCTTGATCAAATACATCTCATTTTTCAAAACCAACTTTAAAATCTGTTCTGAGGGAAGCATATGCTACTCATTCATCTGAGATCTATTATGAGAAACTTTTTTCTTTTTGAGAAGGCTAATGTGCCATAGCAAAGAAGACAAATTACAAATTCATTAGTTCATTAGCGTCTGGTATTACATTTCTATTGTTTACTCTAAATGTTTTGTTTAAACTAAGCTCTCTGTTAAATGAGTCATTAAATGGTAATGTTTGGATTTTCATAATTATAATTGAATTTTACAGGTCTTGAATCAGCAGGAGTTCAGGCTGAGTGAAACGTTTTAATGCATGACATGTGAAGTGAAGGCTTTAGCTAACTTATTTCAGCTAACTGTTTTTCGTAAGAAAACTACGAGCCCTAACACATAAATTATCCAGTTGTTTCGTCTCACAGATATAATCCACTATTTGCCTTTAGAAGTCACATATGTACAAATGGCTCAGCACAAGTAGCACCTCACACTTCTACAGAGTTGAAAGGACACAGAACTGTTCCACATATCTCTGCTGCATTCCTGTAATCCCCACACCTTAGTGGGCGGGGGGCGGGGGGTGTCTTTTCTCCACAGATTTTTCCCGCAAGTCTCCCAGGTTGGTTTCTGCAGGGGTTATCTTTCTATTCATCAATCTTAAGATTTATTTTGTTCACCTTTGATCAAATGCATCTCATTTTTCAAAACCATCTTTAAAATCTGTTCTGAGGGAAGCATATGCTGCTACTCATTCATCTGAGATCCATTATGAGAAAACTTTTTTTGTTATTGTTGTTTTTGAGAGCGAGTCTTGCTCCGTTGCCCAGGCTGGAGTGCAGTGGCATGATCTTGGGTCACTGCAACCTCCCCCTCCCGGGTTCAAGCGATTCTCGTGCCTCAGCCTCCTGAGTATCTGGGATTACAGGTGCGCACTACCACACCTGGCTCATTTTTGTATTTGTAGTAGAGACGGAGTTTCACCATGTTGGCCAGGCTGGTCTCAAACTCCTGACCTCAGGTGATCTGCCCATCTCAGCCTCCCAAAGTGCTGGGATTACAGGCGTGAGCCACCGTGCCCGGCCCATCAATCTTAAGATTTATTTTGTTCACCCTTGATCAAATCTCATTTTTCAAAACAAACTTTAAAATATGTTCTGAAGGAAGCATATTCTACTTATTCATCTGAGATCCATTATGAGAAAACTTCTTTCTTATAACTGAAGACATTGAGTATAAACAGTGATTTTCAGCCTTTTTTTTTTTTTATTTAGAATTTTTTCTCCAAAAGTCTTATGCAGAACCTGGATTTAAAATAGGCAGAGGTAGGCCGCTCTACCTGACATCCCTGGGGGGTGGCGGCCCACAAGTGACATTCCTCATGGCTTCTTTCAGCTCCCTGCAGCTGTCTCTGAGCCACCTCCCAGGAAGCTAGAATTCATGCTTCACGAGTTATCATCAGGTCAACTCTGGAACATGCAAAAGTCTGTCCACAGGCAGTGATTTCTGGGCAAGTGCTGCCCTGGGAGATGACAGCCAGAGCCACACTAAGGAATGTGGTGGCTTGGACCAGGTGAAGGAACCTGGTAGTTCTCAAGCAGAGTTCTGTCCTCCAGGCCTGGCAGGTGGGGTCCTTGAGGGAAGAGCCCCAGAATGTTCCCCTGAGCAGCCACTCCCGTTTGTTGCAGGCTTTGCTCCCCCAAGACCTTGACCAAGAAGTTGATATACCTCATTGCCAGGCGAAGCGTTTCATTTTTGCTCAGCTTTTTGTCTGGAGGGTGAGTGGGGATGAGCTTCCTCAGCTTGGCAAAGGCGCTGTTGACATTCTGCTGCCTCCACCGCTCCCTGGTATTTGTGAAGATCTTCCTGGTCATGTTTGAGTTCCTGAGATGGAAAGAGAAAGGGCCCTCAGGGCCAATATCTTATAAGAGGCCTGATTGGTATCACATGTCCTGCCAAGAACCTGAGATGTTAGATTTTCTCGACTCAGAGCTTACGAGATTCATTTCCTCATTTTCAGGTTTTTAAAAAAGAAAACAACCCCACAGGGACACAAACATATGCCTCTCACCTTTCGAGGCATCAGTGACGCTATGAATTATGCATAATTTCTTTTTTTAACTTAAAAACAACAGGGGAAGGTAAGAACAACACCCTTCAGCTTTTTCTCTCTGGCTGTTTTGAAGCCTCCAGTTGAAAGATTGCTTTGTCCCAATACTCCTGTTTCTTCCTTTATAACCAACTCTTCCTAATTGTTCAGAATCAGGTACAATATTGATTGAGTTTATGTATAAATGCAACATATGTTTGGCCAATAGAAAGTTTGTTTTTTGTTTTTTGTTTTTTTCTTTTTTTGAGATGGAGTCTCACTCTGTCACCCAGACTGGAGTGCCATGGCACCATCTCAGCTCACTGCAACCTCCAGCTCCCGGGTTTGAGCGATTCTCCTGCCTCAGTCTCCGGAGTAGCTGGGACTATAGGCGCCTGCCACCACGCCTGGCTAGTTTTTATATTTTTAGTAGAGATGGGGTTTCACCATGTTGGCCAGCCTGGTCTTAAACTCCTGATCTCAGGTGATCCACCCGCCTCGGCCTCCCAAAGTGCTGGGATTGCAAGCGTGAGTCACGATGCCCGGCCACCAACAGAGAGTTGAATATGAATCAACAATGTATTATCAGAATGAAGTAAAAAAAGAAAATGATTGTAGGTTTCGTTAATAAAATAAAATTTGGAATAGAGAAGACAATACAGCTCTCTTGTTAGCTGGCAGACCTCACCTGGAGGATTCAGCCCCTCTCTGTAAGAACTAAAATATCCAGACTGGACTATATTTAGAGGAGCAGGAACAGAATGATGAAGGGTCTTGAAACCCTGGTGTATGAAGAACAGAAGTGGGGGTATTTAGTCTCGCAAAAATGAAAAGACAAGGGGCAGGTGGGAGTGGTGATTTGGCGTGGATTCTGTAGAAGATACTTGGGCCTCTTTGGGGCTGCATTGGATGACCTTTCCAAGTCTAGGAGAGTGGTTTATCATCACATACTGCCGAGCATTATGCAGGCATTTTTCACTCTTAGAGGCAAGAGTCCCTTTTTTCAAGTGGCTTGGATTAACATGTGCTAATAGGAACACTTGGGAGGCACTGGCAAACAAGCCCAAGTCTAGCCCCAGGCAGTTTGATGTTCTTGGCTTACTGCTATTGGTCTGCTGCCTGCTCCACGCTCAGCTCCTCTGGGCACTGGGCCCTTTCTAGTTCCTCCGAAGACTCATGAATATTCCCAACTCTACACTTTCGCACATTGTCATTTTCTGTTCCTTGAATTTCCTCCCCACTCTCTACTTACCTATTTCTTTAAACAGCAGGTGAGATCTTCCCTTTCCAAGCCCTGACTCTACAGGAGTCTTCACGTAACTCAGCCATCAGTGGAACCATATGCATGGTGGTCAAGAGCACAGGCTCCAAGGCCAGAACCCCGGTTTGGCTGTTGGTTATACTCACCCTAGCTGTGTGACGAGCAATCTACTTAACCTCTCTGTGTTTCAAATGCCTCATAAGTAAAGATCAGTACAGGAGTACTGCATCATTGTGAGGACACATGAAATGATACACATAAAGCACCTTAGCTCAGTGTCTAGTGCATATTAAAGGCTCAATAAATATTTAATGATTGGCGGGACTCAGTGGCTCACACCCGTAATCCCAGCGCTTTGGGAGGCCAAGTCGGGGGGGGGGGGGGTGGCAGATCACCTGAGGTCAGGAGTTCACGACCAGCCTGGCCAACACGGTGAAATTCCATCTCTACTAAAAATGCAAAAATTAGCAGGGCGTGGTGGCGCACGCCTGTAGTCAGAGCCAATCAGGAGGTTGAGACAGAAGAATCACTTGAACCCAGGAGGTGGAGGTTGCAGTGAGTCGAGATCGCGTCATTGCACTCCAGCCTGGGCGACAGAGCGAGACTGTCTCAAAAAAAAAAAGAAAATTAATGATTGCAATTATTATCTTTAAAAATAAAACAGTGAAAAATAAATGTTGTAATTTATCATTTTCTTCCTAATGAAGAAGTTATATGCATTAGAGAAGGTCTTAGCTTTGTTTATGTGCTCTTTTGATTCACTTTACAGGAATATATGGGTGTGTGTGTGTGTGTGTGTGTGTGTGTGTGTGTGTGTGTGTGTGTAGAGCAAAAACCTGGAAGGATTCAGGCCAAACTGTCAACAGTGGTTCATTGGGAGAGGACAGTAGATTGGGAGAAGAGAAAAAAAGGAGACTTGTGGTGTTTTATTCTTTTTTTGGTATTGTTTTATGTGTACATATATAAAATCTTTTTTTTTTTTTTTTTTGAGACAGAGTTTCGCTCTGTCGCCAGGCTGGAGTGCAGTGGCACGATCTCAGCTCGCTGCAACCTCTGCCTCCTGGGTTCAAGTGATTCTCCTGCCTCAGCCTCCCTAGTAGCTGGGACTATAGGCACACGCCACTGGGCCCAGCTAATTTTTTTGTATTTTTAGTAGAGAAGGGTTTTCACCATGTTGGCCAGGATGGTTTCAATCTCCTGACCTCATGATCTGCCCGCCTCAGTCTCCCAAAGGGCTGGGATTACAGGCGAACCACTGCACCAACTGCATTTTTCAATCATCTCTATGCCCCCCGGGACATTTCCCCATCCTAGTTCCTTTCTTGTTGCCTTTCCTGCTTGTGTCTGGGTTGGGGAGTCCAGTGCTGTGCTAAGAATTCATGGTGAACTGGAAGCACCGCAGCCCGAGGTCACCACATGGCTTCCGGCTCCCCGCACTGTCCTCTTGCACCCACATCCTCTCTCCGTGGAGACATTCCTAGTTGGACCCATGGACCAATTACAATACTATGCACTCCAAGCTTTGGGACCAACATTTACTGACACTACGAGCCAGGTATTGTGCTTGCTGCTGAGTGTTGAGGAGCTGGCTGATTGTATTAACGTGTGAGGGAAGCATTGCGACTGCAGGAGCAGAGAAGCAGCAGCTAGCCAGGCATTCTAGCGGGTTCCCAGGCAGGCCAGGTCTCCTTCCAAAACTGAAAGGGGTGGGCCAGGTGATCCCCAGGACCTCATTCAACTCAGAAATGCTACAATGCCCCACCCATTTCCATTTTTTTTTTTTTTGACGGAGTTTTGCTCCTGTCACCCAGGCTGGAGTGCAGTGGCCAATCTTGGTGCCCACTGCAACCTTGGCCTCCCGTGGCACAGTCTCGGCTCACTGCAACTTCGTCACACAGGTTCAAGTGATTCTCCTGCCTCAGCCTCCCAAGTAGCTGGGATTGCAGGTGCCCGCCACCACAGCCAGCTAATTTTTGTATTTTTAGTAGAGATGAGTTTTCACCATGTTGGCCAGGCTGGACTCAAACTCCTGACCTCAGGCGATCCACCTGCATTGGGCTCCCAAAGTGCTGGGATTACAGGCGTGAGCCACCATGCCAGGCCACATTGCCTTTTATCTAACCTAAGTCATTTCTGAATAATCTGACCTTTGGTTCTACAATGAAAATTTGAGTGTTGTCAGAACTATACCCAAGTATATACCTAAAATATAAAAGTTTAAACCTGAATCAAGGGGATTTTAAGGTAGAAAACTATCCAGTTTTGTCCACACTGACACTGGCTGGGATTGCAGGAGCAAAGTTACATTCATGCTTCTCTTATCACAACAGGGTTTAGCTCATTCACTAAGTCAACCATAGTCCCATGGGGGGGTCTTTTTCAAGCTGGGAGGAAAAAAGATTAGGCAGGATAAACTAACGATGGTGTTCTTTTCTAAGAGGGCTCTATCCTATTGTACTAGAAACAGACAGGAAAAAAAACAAACAAACAAAACAAAAAACAGAGAACACTAGCTTCTGAAATGTAGTCTGCCATCCTAGGAGGTGCTTAATCATTCCTTGTTGATTTATCCTCAAGTGTGTTCCTCTCCTTCTCCACAGGGGAAATAGAAATCAGTGGTTTAACAAGCTGGAAAAGCACTGCATTTAGTGTTTTTCCAGTCGCAAGGAGTGATTGCTGCTAATCGTGATCTCAGAGTAATGTAAGAGCTAAAAAAAAAAATACACTAGATGCCACAGAATCAGAGAACATTTGATAGATGGCAAAACAGACGTGAAGCATTTAGGCCACACAGGGAATCAGTGGTACAGCCTGTGTCCCAGGCCTGGATATTGATGCATTTATGTCACCATTGAGGACTCCTGCCGGGTCAGGGTTCATAACCTTTTTTGTACCATGGACCTTTTAGCAGTCTGGGGAAGCCTAGGGACAGATTTGTTTTCAGAACAATGATTTTAAATATATAAAGTAAAAAGGCTTTGGTTCTCATTTCAGAATAATTATTTTAAGTCCATAAATTAAAATACATAGACACAGAAAACAACCAACTATATTTAGTAGTTATTAAAATAACTTAAAATACAATATAGCAATACATGTGCTTCATATTTAACACATTAAATAACTAGACTTATTACGATAATCTCTAAAAAGTGGTATGTAAATGATGTTTTCAAAAGATCTGCAACATCTGTGACATGAAATGCATGCATCTATGATTTCTATTGGTGACAAATTCACCACCACGGCTAATACTACTACAGTTTATTACCCACATTCATAAATAAAGGAAACGCTATGCTTAGATGAAAGGTTAGTGGAAGTAAAGATGTAATTTTTCTCCATCCAAATTCATAGCACCCCTGAATTCTATCTCTATATTCCTGGGTGGATGGGGGTTGTGTATCCCAGGCTAAGAATGACTAGGTTGGAGGAAAGTCAGGTAGAAACGCCAGGAACATGGATATGCATAAATTCTCTGTTTATATTGTCGCTACTGAAGGTAACACATTAGCAGAGAAAAGAAGGACACACTCCCCCAAGGAGGTGACCAATGCCCCTAACAGGAGCTGCTACTTTTTGTGCCAGGGGTTCCTGGACACGAAGACCGGGTTCACCAGAGAGGGTGCAGCACAGGCTCACAGCTAACACTGGGGGGCCTGTCCCAGGCATTCACTCACATACAGCTCTTTCTTCATTCCACTTTAAATTTATCTTCCTGGCATTTGGTCCGGTGCATTTGTCTCTTCTTTCACCTTTCTCTTGAAAGTAAGTGAAAATACTCGCCATGAAGGGTGGTTTATATAGTTAGATTGGGGAACAGTGCTTAACCTGCAATATGAGGCACAACTCTGCCTTTTGAAGTTATTTATAGAAGTAATACAAGCTCATTTAAGAAAAAAAATATCAAGCATACATATGTGCCTCAAGTAAAGAATAAAAGGCTACCTACCTGTCTAGCTACTCAGTCTCACTCCCCAGCCGCAGCCAGTTTGGTGTGTGTATCACACATACACACACACACCCTTTAAAATCACCATATATATTATGCAAGTCGCTTTTCTCACTTACACAACTCTGCATGTTGATATATTAAATCAGCAGCACACAGTATGAATACTGCTCTTCAGCGCCGTTCACAGTAGCCTCACGCTGGGGGAGCCACCTGTTCTAAGATGCACCCGACCCCTGCACCGTGCAGCCTGGACGCATCTCGAATACTCTGCCCAAGCTTCTTCCCTTGCCCGCTTCGCTTCCAGGCCTTTCCCTTTTTCTTTTTATAACTTTTGCTCCCCCTTGCAAACCATTGCCTTGCCTAATGATTAAGTATTTAGGGAGTCCAGGAAAGCATCTAGTGGCTGAAGTTTCGAATCTGCCAGGTGTCCGGGAGTCGCTCGGGGACGCGCGAGCTCCTTGAAGGGCTCTGGGAGATGCGCCGCCGAGAGCGGTACAAGGGGGTCCCCGGCATCACGCATAAAAGCGACGCGGGCCCGCCAACACGCTAGAGAGTCGGCCTAGCACCCCCGGAGCTGAGCCACCGCCCCTGCCCCGCGGAAAGTCCCCCGGTCTTCCCACCGAATTGGCTCGGTGGCCGCTACCAAGTCTCCGCCGCATTCCTGCTCTCCCGGGTGAGTATGGCTCAGCGAGAGACCCGCAGGCCCACGAGCCCGGCCCTGGTTGCGCCCATGTCCCCCCGGAGTCCACGCACCTCCTCGCAAAGAGCCCGCGTCGTCGCCGTAGCCGTCGCCCTCGCCGGCCGTGTGCGCCCTCGCCTGGACACCGCGCCGCCGCCGCCGCCGCCTTTATAGGACACCGCCCTTTGTCTCGCGGGGCCCGGGGGCCCCTTCCCGACGGGGACTCCCACCGTTTCCTCCCCACTCTCCGCGCCCTGGCTTCCGGAGACCAACTCTCTCTTGTGCCCTGGAAAGGGAGCAAGGGAGGAAGGAGAGCCCCGCCTCGTGTGATACTTGGGGGCGGTAAGGGGGTCCTGCCACCCACCTGGGCTGGGGGAGCCGCTTACCAACCTCCTTCTCCAACACATTCAACCCTGGGAAAGTCCGTATCCGTTGTTAATTCATCAGATGTTTATGAAGCCCCAGTGAGCCTCCACCTGGAGTTCAGCAACAACTTGCTTCAGAATCACAGGTGGGGAAGGAGGATCCCAACACCCACAACCCAGACCCAGGAAACTAGGATTTTTCAGGATGGGGGGTGTGGTCTGAAATCTGCATTTTTAAAACCTAAGTATTTCAGGAGATTAAGATGCACAGCAGAATTTAACATTCACTGTACTGGGCAGGTTCCCGAATTTATCCATTTCAGTTTCCACAATGCCCAGCACTAATATTGGTTATTTCAGTGAGGGAAGGGACTCCTAATTGGTCTTCCTGCTTCTGGACTTGCCTCCTTCTGTCTGTTCTCCAACATCATCCAGAATGATGCTATGAAAACACAAGTCAGATTCTGGTCACTTCTCTGCTCAAAACCCCTCAGTGGCTCTCCATTTCACTGAGTTAAGCTGAAGCCTTTAAAATGGGCCCAGAGATACCTTCTATCCCCCTGAGCTGTCTGTCTCTTCTCTTCCTGGGGCTCACTCAGCTCTAGCCACTCTGGTCTCTTTGTTGTTTCAGGAACTCACCAGATACTCTCCTTCCTCAGAGCCTTTTCACTGACTGTTTCCTGGGCCTTAAACACTCTTCCCCCAAGTTATCCACGATTCCCTCCCTAACCTCCTTTCATTCGTTCAACACATTATTACTGAGAGCTTACAATGAGCCAGGCCCTGTTCTAGTTGCTGGGGACACAACTTCAAACAAAACAGATACAAGTCCTTGCCCTCAAGGAGCTGACATTCTTTAGGTCTTTACTCAAATGGCACCTTCTCAGTGAAGTCTGTGACCACAATATCTAAAATTGCACCATCTGTCTGGCGTGGTAGTGAGCCTGTAATCTCACCTACTCCAGAGGCTGAGGCAAGAGGATAGCTTGAGGCCAGGAGTCTGAGGCTGCAGTGCACTATGATCGCACCTGTGAATAGCCACAACACTCCAGCCTGGTCAACATAGTGAAACCTTGTCTCTTAAAAAAAAAAAAACTAAAATTGCTCACACACACACACACACACACACACACACACACACACACACAGAGTCTTCATCCTTCTGTTTGCTTTATTCTTCTTAACACTCATCCCCACTTGAGTATTATTTACTTATTTATCTTCTCTGCCTCTTCCCTACCCCATCTACTCCCAGTGAACAGGTGTTCATCAGATGTTGATTAATGAATGAATAAGTAATGAATTCCCAGGTACCACTCTCTCTGAAAGATCTGGTATAGGACCTGGCACAATAAATTCACAAACAAATTGCAGCTTAGTGGATAAGAGCAAAGGGCTCTGGAGTTACATTACCCAGGTGGAAATTCCTTGTCTATTCACTTATGTGATCCTAGGCAAATTATAGAATTTATGCTTGCCTTAGTCCCTATCTGTAAAATGGGGACAATGACAGAATTGTCAGGACTAAATGAGAAAAAAGTAGGTAAAGCATTTAGCAGTATGCCTAGCACATAGTCGGTATATTGTAAATTTTATTGTGGTCCATTGTATTATTGTTAATAACTATTGGCTCCCTTCCCTTGGAGAGGATTATATAGCCCCACTCACTGCCGTGTGATTGGCAGTGCCTCCCTGTAAGTGGAGGAACTATACTTCCCTGCCCCATTGCCAGGCTTGACCATACAACTTGCATCAGCCAATAGAATGCGAGCAGCCCTAACATTGATCATGATGGAGCAGAAGCTTTACAAGGGATTGCTGGACCGGCTGCAGTGGCTCATGCCTGTAATCCCAACACTTTGGGACGCCAAGGCGGGCAGATCACTTGAGTTCAGGAGTTCGAGACCAGCCTGGCCAACATAGTAAAACCCCATCTCTACTAAAAAAAAATTAAAAATTTGCCGGGCATGGTGGCACACGACTGTAATCCCAGCTACTCAGGAGGCTGAAGCAGGAGAATCGCTTGAACTTGGGAAGCAGGGGTTGCAGTGAGCCGAGATTGCAACACTGCACTCCAGCCTGGGGATAGAGCAAGACTCCAGTTGGGATTGCTGGATGGGCTCAGCCATGAGAAAGTTATGTTTGGGGTTGCTCGTGCAGCCTGGATGCCATGGAGCAAAACCACAACCAACCATATAACATGAGTAGAAATAAATCTTTATTGTTGTAAGTCACTGAGACTTTGGGGTTGTTTGTCACACCGCCACCCACCTTACCCACCTCCAAAACAAACAATACAGTTTTATTATAAATTTAAAAGGTGTTGCATAAATTGCTAGGTTATGGTGGTAGGAGGGGAGTGGGGTAGGATGGGGAGGTAGGCATGAAGGTGAGGAAAGCTCTGTATCTATTTTCAAGGCACTAACAGCTATTGGAAGGGAGAAGACATGACAACATGACTAATATAAGACAGACAGTCCTGAATGCGAGAGAGTGTGAAATTAGAGTTAGGGACAGAAAGGTAGAAGATTCTAGCTGGGGGATCAGAGGTTACCCATGGGACAGATGGCATTTAAACTAGGCCTTGAAGCAAGGGTGGCTCTGACATTTGTGGGGGCCATGATAAGGGTACAAATGGAGACTCCATCCCCGTCCCCATTCTTTTCCCACCCGCTAGCTCTGTCTTTTTCTGTGAAGGGCCTTGTGAAAATGATGCGAACTCCCAGCCCACATGGACCTAGGGAATAGCCCTATCCAGGCCCTGGAAAAGGGTTCATGGTCATTTGAACAGAAATTCAGGGGTCCCAGGTTCCCAGAATATGTTCTAGAAGGTGGGACATAGGAGTTGGGTGAGCACTGGAGGAGGGCCAGAGAGGGGCCATCTAAAAGCACAGTGTCCAGGGGAGGGGCTCTGACTGCTGGGTGCCTGGTGGAAGGGTGGTAAAGACTGGGTAGGAATTATAATACAAGTGCAAGGGTGGAGGAGAGGGCAGCCCAGACAAATACAACTGTGTGCTTTGAACATGGGAATAGTATGTTTAGTCACAGGTCGCAAGACTCATTCTGGTGGCAGTATAGAGGAGAGATTGGAGGGTGGATTGGGGAAAATTAGTTGGTAAAAAGGGATCTTTAGAAACATAACCTAAGGCCAGGTGCGGTGGCTCATGCTTGTAATCTCAGTACTTTGGGAGGCCGAGGTGGGTGGATCACCTGAGGTCAGGGGCTTGAGACCAACCTGGCCAACATGGTGAAACCCCATCTCTACTAAAAATACAAAAAGTAGCTAGGTGTGGTGGCGCACACCTGTAATTCCAGCTACTTGGGAGGTTGAGGCATGAGAATCGCTTCGCTTGAGGCAGAGGTTGCAGTGAGCCAAGATCATGCCACTGCACTCCAACCTGGGCAACAGAGACTCCATCTAGAAAAACAAACAACTACAAAAACTAATATTTGCAGTAAGCTTCTCTGATTTGCTCCTCTTTCTGCTCCTCTGTTTTCCCCATATGGCAATTATAATACAGCAAATGTTACATTTTGAAGCAATAACCTGTATTAATCTTCACCTCAGCCAAAAACTGTAAGGTGATATATTTTTTTGAATGGCATATTTTACAGCTGAGAAAAAGAATTGTGGTAACAGGGTAGCAAGATTGGAAATGGATGATGCTAAACGAAACAATAAGCTGTCAAATAGGATCTGTGTGCGAGTGGACAAGGACTCAGAGAAAGGACAAGGGCTACAGAGAAAGGAGCCCGATTGTGTTGACATCCTGGGACCAGGGTTGATGGTTTTTTCTTTTCAAAACATTCTTAAATGTTATTGTTGGTTTTATACTTTCAGAAGCAGGGGAAACAATCTTTGGCGCATCATTTCACTAGCAGTGATCCTTCAGAGTGATGGGTCTTCTCCCATGCCAGTCTCCCAATGTAGAGAATTTTGGGGCTAGGACCTGCAGGGGAAGGGGTTGAAGTAGGAATTTACATAAGCCGATTATTGGGGGATTAGATTTGGGCAGCTAAACGCCTCTGTGTGCTTGAGCTAAAACCCTTACTATTCATGGCTCTCACTGCCCCCTGGAGAGACTGCACCTGCGAGCTCCTGGGGAGGAAACAGAGGGCTGGGGAGGGAAGGGCAGGTCACTAGGAGAGCTTGGGCACTGTCAGGCTTTCTGGTTCTCCTGGTTTAATTGATCTGTCTGGATTAGCCTGTGAATACTGGCCTTCTAGTCCTGTATGCAGGGGTTGTCAGTTTCAGGAAAGACCAAACCTGGGATTTTTGTTTTTTATTTTATTCATAAAAGTAGAGACGGGATCTCGCCATCTTGCCCAAGCTGATCTTGAACTCTTGGGGTCAAACAATCCTCCGGACTTGGCTTCCCAAAGTGTTGGGATTACAGGAGTCAGCCACCGCCAGGGCCCAAACCTGGGACTTTTGGAAGGGATTTCTGCCAGGCCAAGTGGGTGTGGGCCAAGATTGTTTTGGCTGGAGGTCAAGCATCAGCCTTAGCCACTCTTAAAACTCTCTTCTTCCCTCCTCCATCCTTAGCCCCTTTACCAATCTCCAATTCTATGTATCGAGGCCCCTATTCATCCATCCATCTCTCCATTTATCCAGTCATTTATTCATCACTTTTTCCATCCACCATTAATTTATTAAACAGATGAGTTAGCTGGTTCTTGATATTTAATACAATTTACTAGTAAATCCTTCTAGGTAGGTTTTGTTCCTTCCCCTGTTCTCTCTCTCCTTAATGTTGGTACTTTGACATATAAATTTGGACCTTTTCAGATTCATTAGTAGAGTGTTATATACAGTTATTCAGTTACTTTTTAACATCTCTATTTTTTTAATCCCCTTTCTCATGCCTCATGTTATGTGTTTATGATTTCTCTCTCTCTCTTCTTGATCAGTGTTGCAAAAGTCTGTTCATTTTATTGCTCCTAAAAAACTAGCTCTGGGATTCGCTTATCATTTTTATGATTTTCAAATACACTTTCTACTATATCTTTATTAAATCTGTTCTTTTGTTTACGTTTATTTCCTCTCCACTCTATCACTCTTGGATTGAATGCTTATTTATTTTTACTCTTTCTTGTTTAGTAAGAAAAGCACTCCGGGCTGTGAACTTTCTTCTGATAGACCTTTGGGGATATCCTGTTTCCATTTGTAGTATCATTGTCATTGGTTTCTAATGTCTGTTGCTTATTTTTCTTTTATAAAGTGTTTTTAAATTTTCTTGTTGTTGTATTTTTTTGGCAACCATTTGCTATTAGTTTCTAATTTTATTGCAGTATAGTGAAATATATGCCCTGTATGTTTTTTGCTTTGGGATATTTATTGAGAATTTTCTCTTTGATAAAACATATATTCAACTTTTATAAATGTTTCACAGGTACTAGAAAAGGAGGTATATTCTCTGTTTGAATGGTAAAATGTCTTTTTACACATCCATTAAATAAATCTGTATTCTTGGAAGTTTTTGTCTATTTGATCTATTCAAGAGAGCACTGTGTGAAAATCTCCCTTTACTATTTTGTTTCTGTTCTTTTTGTTTTTCCGGGAGTGTTTGCTTTAGATCTTTACATTTTTTGCTGCATTGCTTTTGAAGCATAAAGACTCAAGGAAGTTTTTTTATTGACTTAGAGGATTGTAGCCTATATCAATATAAAAATCTTGCTTTTTACCATGAATTTCATTTTATTATATTAATATTACAACCCCTGCTTTTAAATTTGCATTTTCCAAAGTAAACTGTGCCCATTCTTTATACTTAATTTGGGGTGCGTGGGAGTGACTCTTGGTCATAAGAAACTCTTTTTGATAAATTTCAATTATTTTAACTCTCTCTTTTTTTTCTTTAAAGGAGACCCCACCTTCATGTTGAATTCTGCAAAACAAATCTCATTCTAGTTTACTTGCTACATTATAAACTTCATGAGGACAAAGACTTAGTTTCCTTCATCACTAGACCCCAGGAATTGTGCTCACTGCCCATAAAAGCTGCTTGATCAGATATTTGTTGAATGAATGCAAGAAAGCTCTTATTTCTTCAGACAGCTGCCTCCAGCCTGCCCTGCCTTCTGTCAGCAGACACATAGCTTGCTTCTGTGAGGTAAATGTTTCCAAGGCCATAGAATGGTTTTTTTTTTTTTTTTTTTTTTTAAGATGGAGTCTCACTCTGTCACCCAGGCTGGAGTGCAGTGGTGCGATCTTGGCTCACTGCAAGCTCCACCTCCCAGGTTCACACCATTCTCCTGCCTCAGCCTCCCGAGTAGCTGGGACTACAGGCGCCCGCCACCACGCCCGGCTAATTTTTTGTATTTTTAGTAGAGATGGGTTTTCACCGTGTTAGTCAGGATGGTCTCGATCTCCTGACCTCGTGATCTGCCCGCCTCGGCCTCCCAAAGTGCTGGGATTACAGGCGTGAGCCACGGCGCCCAACCTGGTTGTTTTTTAAGAAGGAGAGAATATTCTGTCTGCTACATGGAGAGGGGCAAGAGAAGAGGTGGGGTGGGGGGACTAGTTAGGATGCCGTGAAAGCAATGCAGGCAAGAGGAGATGATGGCTTGACCTGAGGAGGGGTTGACATTAAGCATCAACTCTGGCCCAGGAACTTAATCCTCTGCCCCAATTATTCAACCTTAAGTGCCAAGTGTCATGCTAGGCATTTCACCAAGGTTTTCTTATTCAATATGAACAATTATAAATATTAATTATAAAGTTACATAACAAGTTATCCTAAACAAAAAATGTATTTCTCCCAAAGAAGTCAAATACTAAAACATATACTTAAAGAAACAAGCATATGGCTGACTCAGTTTTACTAGCGGTTTTTAGACAGGCATCTTTCCAGAGCCTGCAGAAGCTGCAGATTCTCATGGATGTTCATACTACTCCATTCACAGGGCCCACAGAGCAACTTAGTGAACAGCTCACATCCTCCCAGGCTCTTCCTGCCTCCCTCATTCCAACCTCCCTCAACTAAGAAAATTATCAAGCAAGTAGCAGCAGGTGAAAGCAGGTGACACAGGAAACCAGGGCACCTGGAAGGGAGAAACGCACTGATGTGGCCCACATCTCTGCCTGAGCAGTGGGCAATGCACCAGCAGGGCGAGACCTTTAGGAGAGATGCTAGACTCTGTGGACCAGAGTCTCTGATATACACTGGTTTTGTGGCCCTGGACAGGTAGTGGTATCCTGCTAAGCCTGTTTCCAATAACGTGGGAATAATAAATACTCATTGATTGGCCATGGACTGAGATAAGATATTGAAAAATGCCAAATAGCAGGCAGTTTAGTGTGGCAGCTAAGAGAAGACCTTTGACTTGGCTTTGGAGGCAGACTGGCTGGTGTTTGCATCCTTGCTTTGATGCTATTATAGTTGTCATCCTGAGCAAGTTACTTAACTTATCCCAGACTCAGTTTTCTCAGCTATAACTCAGAAATATCATCTCATGGGTTATTGTGAAGATTCAGTGAGCTAATGTATAAAAAGTTAGTGCTTTGGAATAAATACTAAAAAATGGTGCTAAGTCATCTAATGAAACCAAAGTTACTCAATACAGAGATTTCATTTTATTTTTACTACCAAAAAACTCTGTCTAAAAGCTAGATGGTGAACCTAAACACATGACTCTAATTTCTGCCAAAGGGCACTTTCAGTTTTTTCCTTTCATCTGCCCAATCCAGCATTCTGGCTCCCACCTCTCTCCTTCAAGTTACTTACTTTCTGTGCTGCTAAGAAGCTTTTATTTTTTTCTAATATTTGAAACAGAGCCCAGGACTGGATGAGGGAGAAGCCAGAGGGGAAAGAAAAACTTCTCTTGCGCATCAGGCCTTTCTCTTACATGTAACTTCCACTCTCCAGCACCCCAGACCCAGGACCCCTTGGTAACGCCCACACACCCACATTTTATCTCCAAGACACCTGGCGTTAAAGCCGTGAGGGTATTTCTGTCCAGAGCAAATGTTGACTGTTGCAGCATAAAGCGGTGCACACAACTACTTCAAGTGAGCTTCCCATAGTTACCAGTTAGAGGGACATACAGCCCTGGGTGTGCCCAGCTGTCGACCTCTCAAGACCAGGCTGGCTTGGCCTTGACTCCGTAGGCCTGGAGCTGCGAGTGCTTCTGTTTTCAGCCAATAAACCCAAACGCAGTGGGGAAAGCGAGGGGAGGTGTTGGGGTGGGCAGGACCAGGTACTGGAGAAAAGAAAGGGGTGGATGGAATTCCCCTTTCCTTCTTTATTCTCTGGTCTTTGTGTAAGGGACGTGACTCATCGATGGGTCTCCTAGATGAGGATTTAGATGCTCTGTGGGCAGCAGATAAGAGTGCAGCCTACTTGCAGAAAGTAAATTCATTGAATACTCCCCATAAAGTCAATACTGTCAGGCTTATCAGCTGTCCTCATTTCCCACTCTGCTCCCTGGGGACCAGACTTGAAATAAAAGGCCCCAGCTCCAGGCGCTTAGAGTGAAGGTGCAGGGCTGAGCTGGGGAGGGGCCTCTGCCCCCTAGGCTGCTTTTCAGGCAAGTGGGGGAAATCTGCCAGGTCAAGCTGCCCAGAGCCCTCAGCTACCCAGCCTGACAAATCCCAAACCAAATACACACACCCGGAGGATGAGGGAAGCATCCCCTTACTCCTCAAATCCAGCAGATGTTTCCAGGAGGCCCCACTGTGCTTAGGAAAATTAGAGGATGTCACCTCAAATGCAACCAATAAAAAAACACACAGAGGAAACCTTAATTTCCCACAACTGTTGTTACCTTTGCTTTTCATAACAGATACTTCTGCACTACCCAGGAGCACATGCATCTTTTTAGCTGGCGGGGATATGGTTTCTTTACACGCTGCCTGAACTAACTAGGTTACCAGCTGGGGTTTCAGATCTGTTTCTGAGACTTACACTGTAGCTGATGCAGACTGGTTTAATAAGATACAACCTGTGACTGGCTCCCCTCCCACTCATTGTCCCTGTGCTCTCTGCTGGGATTATAGGCTTGCCCAGGCCTCGTCAGCCAGCGGTCCCTGCCTGAGCTGTCTTATCCAGGCAGCAGAATCTGTCTGGGTGGAAACGAGGAAGAGTGAAGACAAAATGGCCTTGTTTTTATTATGGTCCAGAAAGCCACTGGAGTCCCAAGCCTTCTCGTAGAGGTAAATGTAGGGTAGAAGGTCAGTTGTTAGCACAAACTACTCTCCTAGTACAACTAGAGCAATTACTTTTTACGCCTTGGAGCCCATAGTCTCCAGAGGTGAACAGCCAATAGGGAGATGAGGACTAAGTTAAGACCCAGAATTTAAAATCCTCACTAAGCTTATCTCCCTTCCTGGCTTCTGTTCTCCCTAGCTTTCAGTTATGCCCTGTGGCATCATCATGTGAAAAGTCTATCCTGTCCTAGTTTCTAACTGAAGCGACAGGTATAGAAATGGCTCCAGCCTCTTTCCCACATCCCTCACATTGCCTGTATTGTGGTGCCCAGGTCTAGCACTGACCATTGGTCTCCATTCCTCTGCTGTCTTCCAAAAATTGCCTTCATGTCTTCTCCACAGCCTAGAATCTCACTGGCTCTCCTGGCCCAATTCATCAAAATGAGCTTTTGTCATGGCTCTCAAAGGCCTATTCTAATTCCCTGGAACCCTCTGGATAAGACCCTGCCTTGTCCTATCACACTCCCTTTCTGTGGCTTGCAATGCTGCTCTTGAGCTCCACTTCCCAGACCATCACCAAACTGTCCCCTGCTCACTTGGTCTCAAGCGCTTCCTGACTCTGGACTGCTTGTGCCCATGTCTAGCACTGACTGATAATTCCTAGGAGTGACCTTACTTAAACCACTAGGGTCCTATGCCCATCTGGCTAAGTTTCTATCCTCTGTCCCTGCAACTATCAGGGTTCTAGGGTCTCTAGGATCAGTCTCGGTGAATCTGAATTCTCCTAAATCCCTGCTCTATCCTTGAAGGGGTTTCCTGAATGTTTGTCGAACCTCACCCTTAGGACAGATCCGGTGAGTAGTAACCAGGCCAGAAGTGTTTATTGAAGGCATGATGCTCCTATTCAAAACTTTTCTCTCTCATATCCAAACTTCATAGCAGAATATTCAGTCCCCTCATTTCCTGCAGTCTGTTCCTTGCCCACTTTTCCAGTTGTATCTTTCACTATTTATCCATATGGCAGATGGTCTTATTCACTGTCCCATAAAGCCTATTCTGTGAATTTACTGACTCCTCTTACTCAGAAATGTTTTCTTTCTTCATTTATTCAAATTTTCTGTTCTACAAGTCCTAAGACTCAGCTGAACCTCATTACCCAGTCCCTGTCCTCCTTCCTGGAGCTTTTTCTAGACTCGGGTGCTCAGACAGCCATCTACAAAGTCTAGGACTTTTGTCTCTTTGCCTAAGCCTGGTCCTTGAGACTCAATTCCATTAAGTGTTATGTTTTAACCCCACATACTCTCTCCCCAAAGAACAGGCCTTGTACCTGTGCTCTTGAGGCCAGGGTCGCTTCTTAACACCAGTGCTCAGGATAGGGCCTCTACCCAGGAGGGATCTGAAATACCAATCTTACAGAAAAATTGTGACATGAGATTATCAGGAAAATACAAGCTGATAGGATTTATGCCAAAGGCAGATGTAAAACCATGTGAACATAATATTAACAATAGTTATCATTCACTGACCATCTACCATGTACTGTACATCTACCATGTACTGAGCAGTGTGCCAGACACTGCAGATTTCTTACAATTTCTTACAATTCTTTTAATAACCTTTAAAGGTAGGTATTAATTTAGCCCCATTAGTTGAAAAAAAATTCAGAACTCAGAAGTTGAATAGCTAGCCCAAGATCACCGAACTAGGCTGTGGAGGGCTCTGGATTCCAGTCGACAAATCCAAAACCCTTGCTGATCCCATAAAACCCTATAGATCTGCAATATGCTAGCTACTAGTTTTAAATTAATTAAAATTAGAGTAAATATTTAGTTATTCAGTTACACTTGCCACATTTCAAATATTCAGTAGTCATGTGGCTAGTGGCTACAGATACATCATTTGCAGCATCACACCATGCTCTAGATAATTCTCTGGTCTTCCACTAAGACATGGGGAAAAAGATGGCTCCTTCCACTAAGACATGGGGAAATAGATGGTAAGAGAAGACATCATCCTAAAAGGAGAGCTTTTCCCTTGTTTATGAGGTCACATGCCAGAAATTTGCTTTTTCTGCTAAGC